>NW_025791777.1:1170467-1325653 GCF_000001405.40 Homo sapiens
ACACAAAATACCCACACCTTCTCCAATTCAAGCAATCATTTAATTAATCGAAAGAGCTGAGATGCACTCCCTCTCTACCTCATAAGGGCTTCCATCATGAACTTGATTGTGTCCTAAATTCAGTCCTCCAGGAGAAGCTCATCACCCTCCCCATGTCCTGAATGTCAGAATCCAAAGCTGGAAACTGCATCCTACTTAATCTTTATGTTTTTTGAAAAAGTTTATCTTTCTTCCCGGGAATAAAAACATCTATTCTCTGAGGCACATGTAAGCATTTATCCTTCAGTATAATGAACTTTTTTAGTCATATTGTTAATGACAAGCTTACATAAATTTTTTTCTGCTCCCACCTTCAAAGCTCCAAGCCCTGTATTCTTACAGGATGATATTCATAAACTATTCGACCTTAGCTTCCCTCCACTTAAGCCTTTCTTGCTCAGAATCACTCCTTTTATTAGTTATCTGTTGATGCTTAACATATTACCTCCAAAACTTAGTGGATTAAAACAACAAACATTCATTATGCCAACTTCTCTGGGTCAAGAACTATATCAGAATTAGTAAGGCCCTCTAGCTCAAGGACTCTCATAAGGCTGCCATCATTTAAAAGCCTTACTTAGGGAAGATTCACTTCTAAGATTAATCATGTGGCTGGGGGCAGTCCCCAGGTCCTTCCTTGCTGGCTGTGACTGGTGACACTGGCTCCGTGCTATGTGGACTTCTTAATAGGCAGCGCCCAACATAGAAGTCAGCTTCCCTTACAATGAAAGAGAGAGAGAGGATTCCCAAGACAGAAGCCACAGTCTTTGTGCAATCTAATGTTGGAAGTGATATCCATCACTTCTGCCACAGTCTATTTGATAGTGAAGTGAGATAAATTCAACTAGGACAACAGAGTAGAAGATTCCTCAAGGAGTTACCTCTACCAGGGGTACAAGTGACATGGAGCAATTTTAGAGGCTGCTTACCAAACCCATGAAATGTATAATGACAAAACATGATATTCCTCTTAAATGACTAAATAAGCACACCACTCTTTGATCAATCTCCTGTCTGTTCAGTGTGGCAACAATTCCCACTGCAGCTGTTCTCCTGCCTCACTAAGACTTTCAATCCACTGGTGCCTCAGCCTTTGCCTATAGCATTATGATCCTCCTGCGGTCAGTTACTCCCACAAGCAAACTAACAATGGCTCTTCTCAACACTGGCTTTATGTTAGAATTGCCTGAGGAGGTTCCAAAGATACATATGAGTGCCTTGGCCCCAATTGAGATTGGCTGACCCAGTGTCTCTGGGACCTGGCATTCTATTATGATACTAATATGCAGCAATAGTTGGGAATCGATATTGTAGATTCAATTACTGAATATTTTAAAATGTAATTGCCAGTAACATAAAACCAGAATTGACATACTGCTTCCCTTGGGCTAAATACAATCCATCTCCTATTTTTTAAATAAATTCTTATTGGAACGCAGCCACATTTTCTTATTGTCCATGGTTGCTTTTGCAGAACATGGGAGAACTGAGTACTTCCTACAGAGACAATATGGCTCACAAAATAAAAATATTTACTATCTGGCCCTTTGCTTAAAAAAAAATTACTGAGTTTTGACCTATCCCCTTTCACATCTTCATTTTTCTCTCTCTCTCTCTCTCTTTCTCTCTCTCGGTTGCTTTTGGTTTTGTCCTTTTTAGAAGCACATTGCAACCTCTTCTCTAGATGAACCCAACTATCTGATTTCTGCATATTTCTCAGTCCATGACTGCTGCTGAAGAATGTCATGCAAGAAAACAAACTGATAATATTTTAAGACGATGATCACCATTGGAAACCGGGTTTTCAATTGTGCCTGACATAACTTTTTCAATCTCTACAATCCTCTAATTTCTGACACTCTCTTCTCCCTTCTCACTTCTCTCTCTCTGCAGATGACTTTGCTACTGCAACACAGAGAAAAATATAAGTCTTTATACTCGTAGTCTTTCAACTACCTGGCACTAAATCAATATACCTGTCTCCATTTGCAACTATTATCTTTCTCCCTGATCCTGTCAAGATGATCTTACTCTTTGTTGTAGGCTACTTTCCTCCTCTGACTTCAGAATTAGTTCTCACCTGACATTAAGAGGAAATTTACATTGTTACCAATTTCTCTACTGAAAATCCAACTTTTTATTTCCACGTAGATGCTTCCCATCGTGGTTTCCATGAACTTTATTGTCTCAATGATTGTCATTTTAGATCTATAACTCTTTTTCTGAGCTTTGGGTCTATATAAGCCAAATTTCTGCTCAACGGAGCAACCATATCCCCACTTTAATTGGACAAGTCTCTCCAGAAAATAAATCTCCTATTTCCTGTTGTGTTAAATGAAGAATAATTACTAAGGTATTCAGTAATGATAAAGAATCTGGGAATTTAACTGTTCTTGATATGAAATTTCAAATTACACACTTTTTTTTTTGGGGGGAAGCCAAACCCACCTCCAGCATTTTATTCCCACACATGATAAGCTTGTCCAAGGTGTGTGTGGTTTGGATGACTTTATATTTTGTTAGCTTTCCTCTTCCCTCTACATATGGACACTATGTTTTGTCAAAAGGAAATGTGTACACTGGATGCTTGTTAAAAATAGCAAGGAAGACTATTCAGGACTATAGCAATGGGGGAATAATATAGCTATAGTAGAGAGAGATTGAACTAAAATTTCTCCCAGCATGGAGCTGGAAATTTATAAGCAAAGAGCTGAGGGAGTGAGTCAGTGGATAGAAACTAATTAGATATTAAGGGTGGCGGGGGGTGGGGTGGCGGGGAGCGGGGTTCTTGCTAAACTGCATTATTGCTAAAGGCATGCCAAAGTGATAAGATATCAAGGGCGAAGTGATTCTCAGTGAACTGGCTTAGCAGGCGTCTTTGTTAAACTGGGCCTGAGAAGAGGGACTGGAGAAGAATGATTAAACTTTGGTCAAGATGGGAATCTGTCAGTTTTGGCCTTCTCTAATCTATGTCGTTACGCTGCTCGAGAGCTTGCTAAGATGTATTCAAGAAGGCTAGTGTATTAGCTTGTTCTCACACTGCTGCTATAAAGAAACACTTGAGATGGGGTAATTTATAAAGCAAAGAAGTTTAATTGGCTCGCAGTTCTGCAGGCTGAACAGGAAGCATAGCAGCATCTGCTTCTGGGGAGGCTAAAGGGAGATTTTACTCATGGCAGAAGGCAAAGTGGAAGCACGAATCTTGCAAGGCAGAAGCAGGACTGAGAGGAAGAGAAAAGGTGCCACACACTTTCACCAACCATATCTCATGAGGATGCTATCATGATACAGCATCAAAGGGGGAAATCTGCCCCCATGATCCAGTCACCTCCCACAAGACCCCACCTCCAACACTGGGGATTACAATTCGGCATGAGATTTGGTAAGGGACACAGATCCAAATCATATCAGCTAGTAATAAAGTGTATTAAGATTTAGGAGTTGATATGGTTTGGCTGTGTCCCCACTCAAAATCTCATGGTGAATTGTAAACCCCATAATCCCCACATGTCAAGGGAGAGACCAGGTGGAGGTAATTGAATCATGGAGGTGGTTTCTCCCAAGCTGTTCTCATGACAGTGAGTGAGTTCTCTCGAGATCTAATGGTTTTACAACTGTTCGGCAAGTTCCTCCTTCCATCCTTCTTTTTCCTGCCATTTTGTGAAGAAAGTGCCTGCCTCCCTTTCACCTTCCACTACGATTGTAAGTTTCCTGAGGCCTCCCCAGTCATAGGGAACTGTGAGTCAATTAAACCTCTTTCTTTAATAAATTACTCAGTCTCAGGTATTTTCATATAGGAATGTGAGAAAGGACTAATACAGGAATCTTCAAGGACATCCCATCCAAATTAAAAGTTGTGTATCACTTGCTTCTTTGACCTCATCTACTGTATTAATTACATTTATATGTATATATACACACACACACATATGCAAACATATATATATATATCAGCTTTACTAAATGGTCTCTATATTCTCAGTTTTATTGTTTCATTAGGAAAAGAAATTGGCTGGGATATTGGTAACAGTATATTTCTGCTTATGCTGTAATACCCAAGTTGAAACATTTGATAGAAATTGATTGATGCTTGTTACCTGATGTTTTAAAATAAGGGCTAAATAGTTATATATCTCAATATTATCGTTATCCTGGATGTGACAGGGTACAGATGTGACAATGCATGTTTTTATAGTGTGTTCTACTGGTGATTCAAATAACTAAGGTATTGCCATTGGCAACATAATTTTTGTAAATATTGAAAGACTCTGGGAAGTTTCTACAATAAAAAGACTTTTTCTCTTCAATTTCCGTAGTGGTTGCATTCTGAAAAATTTAGTTTGTATTAAGCCATTCAAAGTATTTACATGTAAAATATTCATTTCTTGACTAAATAATTACAGATGATCACTTACGTGGCTATCCATTGGGGCATTTGATGGGAATATTTTTTACAATGTAGGATCGCAGGATATCTAGTATTGTTTGTCCTCACATTGGAAATACAATTACTGCCTTCTGATCGTTTTGACAATGGAGACACTCAAGCATTTCTAAACAGAAAAAGCTGGTACAAGCACACTTGAAGCACAATACATCTGAAAGGCACATGAAGAGTTCAATAAAATGTTTAACAACTGAAAAGACTGCAGAAATAAATTTAAGTATTCTGTCTATACTAAAATCCAAATGTAAATTATATTAGAGTTGCAGCTATTTAATACGCTATTTCAGCATTCACATGCTATTTTCTTTTTCTATTCAGATGTTTTTTCCACTGCCAGACACTTTCTAACAAGTCCTTCAAACCCTCTTTATAATAACTTATGAAAATATTTGTTACATTATGCTCAATGATTTCCTCAATTAAAATGATATATAAAATAAGAACAAGTGAGAGGAAAAAAACATAGTTTGTGCATCTGTTTTGTGATAAATATAGTAGTTAGATCTATTTTATATAAGTTTTCTCATTAAACCCACATCAAACTTTTTCTCCTGTATTTTTTAAATGGAAAATGTGAGGTTGATAGGAGTTAATTAACTCTACTAATAGCTGACGGAAATGAAACTATCATTACTGAGAACTATGGTTGGTTTTTACAATTATTTCATTTTTTGTTGGTTTGTTTTTGTTTTTGTTTTTTGAGATGGAGTTTCGTTCTTGTTGCCCAAGCTGGAGTGCAATGGCGTGATCTCAGCTCACTGCAACCTCTGCCTCTTGGATTCAAGTGATTCTCCTGCCTCAGCCTCCTGAGTAGCTGGGATTACAGGCACGTGCCACCACGCCCAGCTAATTTTGTATTTTTGGTAGAAATGGGGTTTCTCCATGTTTGTCAGGCTGGTCTCGAACTCCCAACCTCAGGTGATCCACCCACCTCCGCCTCCTAACGTGCTGGGATTACGGGTATGAACCAGCATGCCCGGCCAATCTATATCTTTTAAGTGTGAAATGCTTTCAGAAAAATATTTCAACCAAAAGGGAGAAATGTGGAAGTTGTGAGCACCAAAATGGAGTCACTTACATCAAACCATAAAAAAATGAAGCTGGGAGGCCATGAAAGAGGGGCCTTCATGTACATATGTCTATAATAAGAACTGCTGCAATGGTTCTCTCAAAAACCACGAAAATGTTAGATATGATAATTCTATGAAGACATCTCTCCAGCAACAGCCAATATTATCAATGAGTATTTGCCAACTCTTGTAACAAGCTTCTCTGGCCCATGAGGTTTATTACAAAACTTACATAAAATTTCTCTTTTAAGATTTTTGCCTTCCTGATATGGTTTAGATTTGTGTCCCCACCCAAATCTCATGTCGAATTGTAATCCCCAATGTTGGAGGAGGGGCTTGGTGAGAGGCGATTGGATCATGGGGGTGGATTTCCTCCTTGCTGTTCTTGTGATAGTGAGTTCTCATGAGACCTGCTTGTTGAAAAGTGTGTGGTATTTCCCCTTTGCCCTCTTCCCCCTGCTTCGGCCATGTAAGACGTGCCTCCTTCCTTTTTGCCTTCTGCCATCATTGTAAGTTTCCTGAGGCCTCCTCCAATCATGTTTCCTGTACAGCCTATGAAATCATGAGTCAATTAAACCTCTTTTCTTCATAAATTACCAAGTCTCAGGTAGTTCTTTGTGCTAGAACAAACTAATACAGTCCCTCAGCTTCTTTGGTGCCTAAGGTCCACCATAGCATGTGTATTTCAAATTGCAATTTACTGCTATTTCCTGAATACACTCCACTCTTTATTTTAGAGAGTCAGTATCTCTGTTGTTTAAGTTGACATAATCTAATGTCAGAAGCAAGATGCAAAGGCTCCAAGCCTTCTTTGTTACTTACAGTTACAGCACTGTTATCCAAACAGTAACAAAGAAAGCCTTTGGAAGGCTTTCAAGTATCTGGCGATACTTGAAATTGTGTATGATACTCACCTGAGCCTATTGTGATCTTCACTTGTACAAGTTGTCTTTATGCTGCGAGATAAGTCCTCTCTTGGTTTGAGCTCCCACCTTTTCAGTGAACTCTTACATTTTGGGGGATCTGCTCTTGTAAAGGACATCCTTTCTGGTGAGTATTCTTTTGGTTTAATTTTTGGTTTGGTTATTTGTGCATGAATTTAATCTCATTAGGAAACAAGTTAAGTTGAATAGACCAACTAGTGAATTAATCCGTCTCCAAAATATATGTTTTTGGCATTTACCTGTTTATTTTGAAACTCTTTGTAAGAAATGTAAACCTGTAATGATAATCTCTGCTTTGTAAGGATATCTCCCTCTCTGACACCTAAACACTAGATGCTTTCACAAAGCAAAAGGAAGAGACCTAAATCTATCTATCTGTGTAAACTCACCCTTGACCATTTCATTTTGAAGGCTTCCTATATATGCTTTTTTTCATCTCAACAAATAGTGGTGTTTAAGTTCTGTACCTTTGAGATTTAAATTTTCTACATTCCTTCACCTAAAAATCATCTCTTTGGAAGTACAAATTTTGGGTGGCCTAACTAACACTTGTTTATGGGCCAATTGAACAGATCATTAAAAGACAGATAGTCTGAAAGAGGGAGTAAAACTACTTGCAAGCCAGGCAAATAACAATTCTTAATGCAAGTTGTAAGTTCTTCCTCTGTCTGTATTTTTCTACGTGTGTGTGTGTGTGTGTGCGTATGTACAATTTTTTCTACCAAAATTCATAAACGGCTCTACTTAATTGGCTTACAGAGAAAACATAAGTGTTTAAACTAAGAATTCTCTCAGAAAAACAGAAACTCAATTGCCTTTTGGCTTATGTGATGAAATAATCTTTGGCAGACAAAGCTAGTTTTAAAATTTGTTGGCAAAATAAAAACAAATATTTTCAGAATTGTCAGCATTAATTACAATGTACAGATACAGTTTTTAAACCTAAAGTTACTGGTGAAACAAGCTTGCTATTACTGAGATGTATAATGAATGTCTTAAAGCTATAAATCCACTCATCGTTGTGTTTAAGGAGGAACTGAAGCACAATTGTTAAGAACAAGTGAATTAGGTGAATATACATTGACAAAAGGTTGATAATAAAGTTGTCAGAATTTCAAAAATAATTTAGTGTGACTTGAAATCTTAAAATCATGTTATATTAAATTAAGTAACACTTTACTGATTTAATATTTGAGTCATTTCTAAGGAAAATACTGAAATATCAATTGCTTAACAGAAGTTTAAAATATACGTAATTTGGCATCTTGGTTTCACATGTTATGGAAAAGCTAAACATATTTGGGCCTGTTAATTAAAGGCATAAAAATTATTTTATGAGATGGTGTTCATCTGCAAAATACTAACATGATGCACTTCAAAATGCTTACTAATTTTCACTAGAAATTAAGGTTACTAAGAGTTAATTAAAATTAATATTAGAGTAATTTAAACTAGAAATAATGAAGGGAAACAAATCTGTACGCGAGGGAAGGAAAACACATAAAGAAAGTTATAAGTAAGAGGTTGTGTTTTTGTTAAGGGAAAAAGAGAGTATTTTTTGTCTAAAAGTAGAATGTCTTACTGTTCCAAAAAGAAAAAGAGAAAAAATATAGACAAAAACTGAATAAGATAACTGGATGACAAATTTATAGAAAGTTTGTGGAAGATTAATCTTGTGAAAAGAATTTTATGTGTGACCAAGTTGGCTAAAGTTAAAAGGAAATTATTTATAAATATTCTGAAAACTTGAGCATTATTATCAAAAGTACAGGAATGGAAAACTTGAAATTTGTCCCCTGTGCTGAAACAACAAGCTTTTCTTTGAGTATTGACCTGCTCTTAATAGAAAATAGTGAAATGTTTTCTCTACCTTTTAGATAACTGGCCTAATAAACCAAGATTTTTTGTTTATCAAGGTAATTTCTTATGCTTTATGCTCTCTTTTACTAGGTCTTTGATTACTTGAGAAAAGTGAGTGAGGTGGGGCCAAGATGGTTGACTAGAAGCAGCTAGTGTGTGCCACTCTCACAAATAGCAGAAAGAGTGGTGAGACACTAGCTCTTCAACCGGAACATCCAGGTGGACACATAAGGATTCATCAGTGACATAGTGTGACCTTCGGATCACGGAGAAGAGTGAGACAGATCAGCCATTCACCCAGGAGTGGCACAGACCCAGGGGAATCCCCCTACAAGAAAATGGTGAGTGAGTGAGAGTCCCGTGGGATGCATATTTCTGCCACGAACCTTTGAATCCCTGGGCTCAGGAGATACCCCAGCTGGGGTCTCCAGACCAAAACAGAGAGCCATGTGGAGTCTGGGTAGAGCTGCTTCTTAGGTAGGTGTGGAGTCCCAGTAGCATTTGTTCCCTGGGTACCCCAAAACCAGGGGCTGCAGCTCCAGCAATTGGGAAGGCCAAGTTTTCTTGCACGCTCCCCAGAAAAGGGGCCAAGTCCATGGGGCTGAGCAGTGATAGACTGCAGACCTCACCACCACTGAACCTTGTAGGATAAGGCCCACTAGCCTGGGATGCTAGTGAGGCCACCCTAGTCCTCCTGAGTTCTCCAGCTGGGAGCAGCTCTACACTTCTCCGGCATGCAGCTCCCAAAGAGAGAGGCAGTCCACCTTTTTGCTGTCTCGCAACCCTCCCTCCTGCTGCTCTCAGGCTTGGGAGGGTGCACAGCAATTAGGGACTATCACAGAACCCCAGCACAGTGCATCTGGTGAACTTAAAAAAATCAACAAGTGAAAAACAAACAATCCCATTTAAACGTACACAAAGTACATGAACGGACACTTTCAAAGGAGGGCATACATGTGGCCAGAAAGCATATGACAAAATGCTCAACATCACTAATCATTAGAGAAATGCAAATCAAAACCACAATGAGATACCATCTCACACCAATGAGAATGGCTATTATTAAAAACTCAAAAAATAAGAGATGCTAGTGAGGTTGTGGAGAAAAGGGAATGATTATACAGTGATGGTGGGAATGTAAGGTAGTTCAGCCATTGTGGAAAGCAGTGTGGCCATTTCTCAAAGAACTCAAAGCAGAAGTGCCATTCAACTCATCAATCCTACTATTGAGTATATACCAAAAGAAATACAAATCATTCTACCATAAAGACACATGCACGTGTATGTTCATTGCAGCACTTTTCACAATAGCAAAGACATGGAATCAACCTAAATGCCCATCAGTGGTAGACTGGATGAAGAAATGTGGTAGATATACAACATGGAATACTATGCAGCCATAAAAAGAATGAGATCATCTCTTTTCCAGCAACATGAGTGGAGCTGGAGGCCATTATCCTAGAAAACCCAATACCATATGTTCTCACTTATAAGGGGAGCTAAACATTGAGTACATATGGACACAAATGGAACAACAGACACTGGGCCTACTTTAGAGTGGAGGGAGGAAGGAGGATGAAAATTTAAAAATTACCTACTGGGTACTATGCTTATTATCTGGGTTATGAAATAATCTATACACCAAACCCCGTGACACACAATTTACCCATATAAATGCGTAAGTAACCCACATGTGTACCCCTGAACCTAAAATAAAAGTTAAAAAAAGAGAAAAGTAAATGTTCTCAGTATTAAAAAGCTATGTTTTTGTTGACAATTATGTAAATTTCTACATTTATTTTTTGAAATCTTTTAATTTTCATTTTGGTTACCTGTTATCGTACTCTGATAAAGTGTTTTAAACTGTTTGATGTTTTTGACAAACTTCCCAAAATAATATTTTAAATTAACTCTTTTTGCCCTCAAGTTAATTTTGATATTTCTCATTTGGACCCCTGGAAAGATCAAAGAATGTGTATCTCACATTGTAAAGAGATATATTAAACTAATGAGACTTACTTGATATATTAAATTATATAGGGAGTATTGTCAAATACTAAGTGGTGCTAAACCTTCTTTAAGTTGTATTTCAGAATGTTATTGATATGTGTTACAAAATTATATTGAATTCTTCAAAATCTGATATGTTATCGGTCATAATCTTGGTTATTATCTTCAAGTTTTGTATGCCACAGAAATAAACAAATTTCTTTGTCAATTACATTATTATTATAATAAACTCCATGAGATTTTTAACCATGGCCACTCTAAGTCTGTCATCCACAGGGACCGACTGCTTTCATTCTTTTCCAAAAGCATTTGCCATCAGCTACAATAAAAAATTGCTTCTTCTCTGAAACTGATGACCCATTAAGGTTTAACCCATATACTCCTCTATATACCTCTACAGCCTCCCCAAATCAAGTTGATATATTCCCCTAGCAGTCTGTGCAATGGAGACCAACACTACATTCTTTTAGATTGTTTTAAATTACATTTTTGAACTTCCAGTTTATTACATACCAAGAGTTGATTACAACCTCCTTGTTTCATAAGTGGAAGCTATGTTAGGGTTGGATGTGGGTGCCATAATTTCTTCAAGGATCCTGGACAGAGACCCACATCAGGATCAGAAACCCTACGATAGCATTGCAGATCTCATGGCTCACTAATCCTTGAAGATTATAATTTTCATCCTACTATCAGTTGCACTTTCTGTCACTTTTACTGCATTAAGTCTCCCGGTATCAAACAGAGCTCTGTGGTGTCACTGACTGAGGAATGGAATAGAGATGTCCACAAGGGGTCTTGATATCATGACTGCACAGAGATGTGAAAGGAGAGACCACTTCCTCACCACCCAGCTACTTCACTTCTCTCCCGGTATCAGCCCTATAGTCGGACCTAGGCTTTCAGAAGTGTAAGTGTGCAAACAAGTTTCGGTTGGACTTTAAGAGGACACTTTGTCATAGAAGAAAATCCAGTATCTCTAAGCTGGTTTTCTTTTCAGGAAAACATCCTGAGGGACCAGTAAGCAGGGAGATCCTTTTTCTAGTTTGCCTGTAGAGTTAGGAAGACAGTTGATTTTTCAGTCTTTTACAGGATGCTTAAACAAAGCTGTGTAATTACATAAGGTGGATCTTTATCTTGCCTAAGAAGATAAAGTGGGAATCTTCACTCCGCCAGGGCAAATTTCCAAGGAGCTCATTTATTCCATGTCTTTCAAACTTTCATGAGATACATTTCTCTTTCACATTGTTGCTGATTTCCAAACAGCTGTCAGCTAGTTTTTTCCTCCCCCTTTCCTATTCTTCACTATTTTGATAGCAAAGCTCATAGAATTAGAGGACTTAGAAGATGCTTTGTAAACATTGCCACAAAGGAACTGCTGAAATGATTCACAGGAAGACTGGTCAGTTGGGAGAAAGATCCTAAAGATGTTACACTGGTTTTCAACAACATGCTTAGAGAATTCTTGAAGCAGATAGGTGTCAACCCAGTGAAAACAACATTTTGATTTATTTTTTTTTTTAAGTTTATGGTGATTGTGTCGGTTTCTAAAATAAGCAAATATTCAAGTCAAGAGATGTTTTGTTTTTTCTTCTGCCAAGAATGGGGTTAGGGGAGCAAAGACACAATTTGGGAAAGGACATATGTGCTATTATAGGGATCACCTTTAAGTTTCTGGGAAGGAATGGGCACGGGTGAGTAGGTTGGCTCAACATTGTCCTGCACTGCTTATTAGGACCTGAGACGTGCAAGGGAAATGTGGGTGACATCAGGGCACCCAGGGCACAGCCCCACTAACTGCTGTGCTGAGTTTCTGTAGCCTGCCACGTTTCCCTTGGTGAAGTAAATGAAGATCAAGGAGTCATTTTATGATGTCCTGGTGCTGAGAATAATAAATGTCTTGTTACAAACAGATGTAACAATGGTTTTTTTCTGGATTATTATCAGGGTGGTCAGCTCTGGGTTAAGCACCCACATCCAATTTGTACAATAATATTGATACATAGGGCTACGCTTATTACTGCTCAAGCATTCTGTTTTAATAATTGTGTTTTACTTCTAAAGGTTAAATAAAAGCAAAAAATGGGGCTAAACTATCAAACTGTTCCCCTATTTGTTTTCTCCAGTGTACAACATATATATGTATATATTTTATTTTATTGAAGATGCAGTAGGATACCTGCCATTTAAGAAAATAAATAGAAAATTTAAAATCCCAACAAATGAGAAAAAGAAATTCAGTACCCAAGAATAGGGCTGGTCCAGCACCACCCCGAAGTAGGCTGTGGTTTATGGAGTGAAGAGCCTTGCTCCCTTTACATTCGCTCATGCTCCCACACAAGGCTAGCAGTAGAAATGCTTGAATTCTGCTTGGCTTGCCAAGGGGACTCAGGAGTCAACCAAGGGAACTATTTGGCTCCACGAGGAATGGACACCTCAGGATGCTTCCTGAACAGGGCCTAGTCAGGAAGTAGCCTGGATGTGCATAGTCATGGTCACCTTATGAAAATGTGTGGCAGGTGGCTCTCGGGAAAAACACCAAGCCTGGATCATCTGTGTGGCAGCTTTGCCTGGGGAGGTAACAGCTCCAAATTGAAACTGAACTGCATCCTACATGCTTTACCAAAGCAGTGATGAGAGTGATCAGTGCATGTGGTGTGAGTGGTAGGTTTAAAAAAAAGGGAATGTTTTGTTTTTTTTTTTTTTTTTGAGACGGAGTCTCGCTCTGTCGCCCAGGCTGGAGTGCAGTGGCGGGATCTCGGCTCACTGCAAGCTCCGCCTCCCGGGTTCACGCCATTCTCCTGCCTCAGCCTCCCAAGTAGCTGGGACTACAGGCGCCCGCCACTACGCCCGGCTAATTAAAAAAGAGGGAATGTTTTACGCTCAGTGTTTCCTCTGTCTTTGGGCTACTCAATCTGGACAATAGGTAACCATTCTTTTCAAGGAATCAACCCAACTTTGCTGGCTTGGTTTGTGGTTTGTTTCATCCCTAGCTATGAGCATGCTTTGGTCTATAAACGTGGCTTGTCTCATAATACATTCCCTTTCTGTAATTTTTTAAATTTTTTATTTCCATAGGTTTTTGGAGAACATGAGGTATTTGGTTACATGAGTAAGTTCTTTAGTGGTGATTTGTGAGATTTTGGTGCACACATCACCCGAGCAGTATACACTGAACTCAATTTGTAGTCTTTTACCCCTCATGCCTTTCCCACTCTTTCCCTTGAGTCCCCAAAGTCCACTGTATCATTCTTATGCCTTTGCATCTTCATAGCTTAGCTCCCACTTAAGAGTGAGAACATGCAATGTTTGGTTTTCCATTCCTGAGATACTTCACTTAGAATAATAGTCTCCAATTCCATCCAGGTTATTATGAATGCCATTAATTCATTCCTTTTTATGGCTGAGTAGTATTCCATCACATATATGTATTTATGCATATATATATATATACACATATGCATATATATATACATATACATACACACACACACACACACACACACACACACACACACACATAAATATATACCACAGTTTATTCACTCATTGATTCACGGGCATTTAGGCTGGTTCCACATTTTTGCAATTGCTAATTGTGCTGTTATAAACGTGCATGTGCAAGTATCTTTTTTGTGTAATGACTTCTTTTCCTCTGGGTAGATAACCAGTAAGATTGCTGGATCAAATGGTAGTTCTACTTTTATGAATTGTCCTTGTTTTTCTTTAAAAGTTAATACTTTTGATCACTATAGTTTGTTAGTGTTGGATTGTTTCCACTTTGAAATTTCTAAACTTTTTCCCTTCATAATGTTAAAACAAGTTATGTTAGATGCCCTTTCAACATGAAAGGTCTGTAGTTAAGATATTACATATATTTTATTGTTTATAATAAAAATCTAGACATAAGAAGTGCCAAGTGTTAATTATAATATTTTGCACAGTATCTTTTTTCCCATGATGTGTTAATATCTACAATTTCATTAAATGTTGATGTTATTCTCTATTGAGATTCAGAAGCCTAGGGAGCTATGTGTTCATTTTGGTTATTTTTGTTGTTATTTCCCTGAAGCAAAAGACTACATGGCCTTCAGTGCAACAACCTCAGTCCAATTCTGAAGTTTATTATACTTGCTTGCCTCTTGGCTATTTAACTTCTGAGTGCAAATCATTGAACTCCCTAATGAAGTATTGTAGAGAATAAATTAAAATGAATAAAGAAAAATACTTCCTCTTCAAGGAGGTTCATGAAAAGGACTCTAACAAGTATGCTGGAATTTAGATTTCTTATGAGTTTAAGATTATACCACTGGACTGGGAAAGAATTTCCAGGACTCTAATGAAGAAACGATGGCTTCTTAAAACATCTAACCCAGATCAAGTAGAATAAGTTTAATGAATGGGACTAAACAAACTGATGGCAATATTTTCGAGTGACTTTTTGTTTAACATTTTGCTGTTTTTTTTAAATTTTTTGTTTTCCAGATTTGAGAAAACTTTTAAAAAGCTATCTATAGCATACAGCAATTTGGTAAAGTATACTTTTATAAATAAAAATGGAAATATTTATTTTTTCTTCCTACCTGCGGCTGCAGTCTTCAGAGAGCTCTTATTGATATTTTTATTTTATGGCAACATAGTTATTTGCATTAATTCAATAAAAATCTATTCTCTTTGTAACAGGATAGAATTACAAACATTGGTTATATTATAAATGGTTTGACTTGAATGTGATATTTGAGACTATGCACAGGATGCCTAGCTTCAAGGATTCCCAAGCTCACAGTGAGTGAATAAACATTTTTACCTCTTGACAGGCCAGGAACCTCCAGATATATTGGAGACCTCAAGAAGAGAGAAATTCATGCAGATTTTTAGATACTGCAGCCAAAGTCTGATGTTCGCCCTCCTTTGACTTCTGACCCTTGAAAGGCTTTTAAAAGTCTAATCTGAGATTTCTTATCAAAAGTTCCGTCAAAATAAACTTAAAAACAGCCCATGTTTCATCCCTTTTCTTGCTATACTGTTGTCAATAATCATGCCAAGTTTAATGAGACTAAACTTATTCAGCAGACAAATTAGTCTTACTCTGATTATCTTTAGTAGAAATAGGGATGATTGTACAGAGAAAAATTATGTTTCTGAAGAAAAACTGCAGTACACCTGTTAGTAGATTGTAGTTTTCTTTGTTGTTTTCAAGTTTTTGTCATCTATCTCTAAATTAGACAGGGCACTTAATTATTCTAATTTCCTCCAACGTCTGGCTACGATTCTCCAACTAAGAACATAAACTGCCTTGTTCCTAAAGTCCTATAAGTTGGAGCCAGAAAACTCCATGTAAATTTCAAGAGAGAAATCTCATGGCTATTGTGTGGGCTACAAAGAGAATTGACTAAAATGCCCCATGCTATACCCAGGAACATTCAAACTACAAACCAGAGTAAGAAGTTGATGACATCACAGTGTGGAAAGCTTTTCCCAAGACATTGTAACAAAACTGGACTCTTATCCTTCTTATTTTTTTTTTTCTTGCTTATGCCTACATTTTTCACTTGGCAGAATAACGCTGTGGTTAGAATTTCACATTCAGTAGCTTCCGTAACTGAATGAAGTTTTGGATCTGTCGTGTCAAACCCACATCTTTACATGACCTAAGGGATCCTTTAGTCCACCCAGTGGGTAACTATGGCAACATCCCTAATTTATTTGCCACCTTGGGTTTCGTTGCAGGCTTCACTGCAAAGGCTATTGCCGCCCAGCAGTGCTCATTAAAGTATCTTGCTGAGTAGCCGTAGATAACACAACAGGACAGGATGAGATAACTCTCAATTATCTACTGGTTGAACAAGAATGTCTGTGCCATTGCTAATAACTACATGCTGTACCTGAATATATTTCTCTGGGGAAGTCAAGACCTAATTGCATAAAATAGCAAGACAGGCTTTATGGCTACAACAGATCTCACTCAGTCTCACGTAGACTTTTGATTCATTAGTTGGCTGCCTTTGGGTCCATGTTCATAGACAATATTTCATGTTACTATTAATTTTGTACCGCATCATTCTTTTTAAACTTTTTATCTGTTTCCTGTCCAACCTCTGCAGAAATGATGCATCTAACAGAATAACACTGGTCCAGAACTTCCAAATGGTAGTCAATGCCTATGGAACTGACAAAATTGAACTTAGCAATGAACTCCAGGCAGATTTATCCTGAGAGCCACTCCTTCTGAACCTCTTTGTTTCTTAAATGTGACTAAAAGGGTTTTGACATCTGCTCTTAGTTGCTGGCCATTCACCTCTGATGCAGGATCAGACTAACTAGGAAAGGTCCACTCCAGCACCAAGAAACAATCAAAACCTAACTATAGGCTGATTAATCAGCAATGCTTTCAGAAAAAATTCTTGGTCAAAGGGGGGAAATGTTAAAGTTACAAGCAAAGAAGTTGACTCACTGAAGTCAAACCACAACAAAATGGAGCTGGGAGAGTATAAAAGAAGGCCCTTCATGCATGGATGTCTCTAAAAGAACTATTGCAAGGACTCCCTGAAAACTACAAAAATTTTAGATACGACGCTTCTATGAAGACATCTTCCCAGCAATAGCCAGTATCACCGATGAGTATTTGTCCATACCAAGCAATAAGCTTCTGGGGCCAAAGAGGTTTATTTTAAAATAATTTACATGAACTTCACCTTTTTTTTTCTTTATTTCTTCTTCTTCTTCAAAAAACAAACAAAAGTGATATATGTGCAGAACGTGCAGGTTTGTTACATAGGTATACGTATGCCATGGTGGTTTGCTACACTTTTCAACCTATCATCTAAGTTCCCTCCCCTCACCCCCCAACCTCCAACAGGCCCCAGCGTGTGTTGTTTCCTTCTCTGTGTCCATTTGTTCTCAATGTTCGAATCCCACTTACGAATAAGAACATGCGGTATTTGGTTTTCTGTTCCTGTGTTAGTTTGCTGAGGATGATGGCTTCCAGTTTCATCCATGTTTCTGCAAAGGACATGCTCTCATTCCTTTTTTATAGCTGCATAGTATTCCATGGTGTATGTGTACCACATTTTCTTTATCCAGTCTATCAGTGATGGGCATTTGGGTTGGGTCCATGTCTTTGCTATTGTAAATAGTGCTGCAATAAATATATACACGTATGTTCCCTTACAGTAGAATGATTTATATTCCTTTGGGTATATACCTAGTAATGGGATTGCTGGGTCAAAAGGTATTTCTAGTTCTAGATCCTTGAGGAATGCCCATACTGTCTTCCACAATGGTTGAATTAATTCACTTTCCCACCAACAGTGTAAGAGCATTCCCATTTCTCCACATCCTCTCCAGTATTTATTGTTTCCTGACTTTTTAATAATCTCCATTCTAATTGGCGTGAAATGGCATCTCATTGTGGTTTTGATTTGCATTTCTCTGGTGATCAGTGATGTTGAGCTTCTTTTGTATGTTTTTTGGCCACGTAAATGTCTTTTTTTGAGACGTGTCTGTTCATATCCTTTGCCCACTTTTTGATAGCGTTGTTTGTCTTTTTCTTGTAAGCATGTTTAAGTCCCTTGTAAATTCTGGATATTCGATCATTGTCAGATGGGTAGATTGCAAAAATTTTTTCCCAGTCTGTAGGTTGCTTGTTCACTTTGATGATAGTTTTTTTTGTTTTTTTTTTTTTGCTGTGCAGAAGCTCTTTAGTTTAATTAGATCCCATTGTCAATTTTGGCTTTTGTTGCAATTGCTTTTGGCATTTTTGTCATGAAGTCTTTGCCCACCATGCCTATGTCCTGAATGTTGTTGCCTAGGTTTTCTTCTAGGGTTTTTACGGTTTGGGGTTTTACATTTAAGTCTTTAATCCATCTTGAGTTAATTTTTGTATAAGGTGTAAGGAAGGGGTCCAGTTTCAGTTTCCTGCATATGGCTAGCCAGATTTCCCACATTATTACTGAATATGAGATCCTTTCCCATTGCTTGTTTTTGTCAGGTTTGTTGAAGATCAGGTGGTTGTAGACGTGTGGTGTATTTCTGAGGTCTATGTTCACCTTCATTGGTCTATATGTGTGTTTTGGTACCAGTTCCATGCTGTTTTGGTTACTGAGGCCCTGCAGTAATGAAGTCAGGTAGTGTGATGCCTCCAGTTTTGTTCTTTATGCTTAGGATTGTCTTGGCTATATGGGGTCTTCTTTGATTCCATATGAAATTTCAAATAGGTTTTTCTAATTCTGTGAAGAATGCCAACGGTAGTTTGATGGGGAACTTCACCTTTTACCCTTAAAAAAGCTTCGGCTCCCCCAGCTTTTTCAAATGTGCCTATGGTTCAGTACGGTACACATATCCCAAATTGCAGTTCATTGCTCTTCCCAGATAAACTATTTTGAAAAGTCAGTCTCTCTGCTGTTTATTTTAATAATTTTTAATAGAAGTACATCTTTCTTAAAAGCATAGCAAAAATTTTAAGTACATTCACAATAATAATAATTAGGAAACAAATGATCATTGCTTTGATTTTAAGAATTATTAATTTCTTTAATTTTTCAAGTTGAAATATAGAACATGTTTTATTTAGTTACCAATTTATTTCTGTATTTTTCATGAAACAATTTACTTTGGTAAGAAATTTCAAGGAATCTGTGGCATAAATACATATTTGGTCAATGTTCCTTGACCCAAAGTATTAAGGCTGGGTTGTATTTAATTCAGTGACTAAGTAATTTAGTCAGGTTATTCAATAAATTAATGAGGTAATAATCTATAAATTGTTATAATCTGTAAATCTATAAATCATATGTAAAATTGTATTATAAAAAGCAAATGAGTCTTTCTAACAATAGCTAGTTCCGACAATAAAATAACTTCACTTTTAGTTAGCAAGCCCGTATTACATTTCTAAATATTGAAGTCTGTGCAGTAGTTAATGAACTTTTAGTCAATTATTGAGAAAAAAACTTTTAGTACAGTAGAAGATATAAAAAACATGATTGAGCTCAATTTCTCTTTTTTAAAAAATCACTGATTTCTTGGTCAAACTTTTGCTTCTTTTGGAACTTTTGAACTTTGTGGCCATGTGAAATGGCACTCTGAAACTTCTAGTAGACTCAAATTGAGGTAACTTTCTTGCTCACGACAATTTTATGTCCGGTTTCTAATATAAGCCATTATTTCTAACACATGCCATGGTTCCATGTTTGAACTAATGTTAATACCACCTGCCCCTACATGACTGAGTCTGAGCACATCCCTGGGCCACATCAAGCACCATGGCAGATTAATCATTCCTTATGGTTTTAACAGGCAAGCTGGGGAAAAAAAATAACTGTCTCCTCCAACTTTGGTTATGCGTGAGTTTCTTACCTTTTAATGGTGAAAAATAAACTTATCTGTCATAGGAGAAAATAACATTACACTCATATGGAAGCAGAGGTGAGAAGTGAAGCCTTAGTAGTGATGTCATCGTTGCCAATTACTGAAGCCAGGAAGTTAGGAATCATCAGTCTTTTTCTTTTGAATTAATGTGACAGTAGTCGAGAGAGAGAAAAAAGTAGGCATGCTGTATGTTATTTAGAGGATAAGATCTATAGATTTGAAATTGATTTGGCATAAACCCACAGGAAAGTGAAGAATCAAGCATGTATTCTAAGCTTCTGGCTTGAGCAAGTGAGCAATCAGCAACATCAGCCCTATGACCTACTAGATTTTTACTGAGGTATACTTTGTAATGTAATAGCTGTGAGAAACTGAATATCATTGAAATTTAGAAAAGGTTATGACAATGTCATTGGGTTAATAGATAGCCTTTTCTTACAAAGATTTGTAAAAAATGAGAGGCCCTAGACATTTGCTGTGTATATTATGCATAAAAATACCACCTCCAGTGAATTCGTTTGGAAAAGAAACTCAAAGCAAGGCCAGACAAAGGAAACAAAAAGAAAAGAAACGAAAGGGAAAGGACAGGGAAGAAAAGGCAAGAAAAAACAAGACAGACAAAAAATTGGAAAAATATGACAGAGAGAGCAAGAATTGTATATATCATAATTTTATAATATTTTAAATTTATAAAATTATTTTTTGACTTTTTTTAATTCAAGAAGACCCTGGATATAAGTCCATCAGTATATAAATAATTGCTAAGAACTGGGACTAAATTTTAAATAAACTACACTGTTGAAAAAGCCAATATTTTCAAGAAAATTGACCAAAAGGTATCCTTGTCTTCATTTCCACTGACATCTTATGACTGCCATATTTTTTCAGCTATGGCTCTTTTTCTACCAATGGCATGTCACAAAAATGTGTGAACCTCTGGTCACTCTAATTAGTCATACCAATATTGCATAATTTTACCTCAGAATGTTTTTTCCAACTACATTCTTTCTCCAGGGGCATTTATATTCAATGTTTTTTCCAGGGGCATTTACATTCTGAATACCGTGCCTCAAAGTCAAACTGGTTAGCATTACAATCTTGTCTGGTATTATATATGCATTTATTAATGTACAAATTGACCTCATAAATAGAATATATTTGTCAGGAGTTTTAGGTCTTGTGTTCCCAACACCTAACAATAGATACTTGTTGAATAAATTATGAAAGGGAAAAATAATTTTTAAGAAATTTTGAAAACTTAAAAAGGAAACAAAGGTGCCACAATGGAAACAAAATTTCACTTTTTTTTCTCTGAGTTTAGAGTAAATCTCAGATTCAAACACATCTGAGGATGTACAATTATCAATTATGTAATTCCAAGGGAAAGTAATTTGTACTTACAGGTTAGATATGATAATCAATTCACTTAATTCTACTCGTTTCCTTTAAAAAAAAAAAAAAGAGGCTGTCAGAAATAATACATCACAGTAAAACCTCCTATCAAACAAGAAAAGATTGTATTTGGGAAAACATTTTCATAGACCTAAATTGAGTAATGTTTCCAACTTACATTTCACCAGTTAAGCTTCCCATTAGAAAATGTGTTTGTATGACACCAGTTCCACTTGCATTTTTTTCCCATAGGTTTCCCAGCAGACGTTTACAATCCTTTAGTGATGTTATAGCCAGAATTGTATTAGGTAATAATATAAAATCCCTAAATTTTATGTACAAACCTTCACTGATATTTTTAGTTATCATGAAAGAATCCTTGTATTTATTTCTATTCTAATTCTCCTCATGTCATTGGTATTTTATATGTATTCATTGTAAACATGTGTTGAATGTTCTAAATTTATACAAGCAAAACAATGTACATATTCTAGAGCTTAATATTTTCCCTCTCCCTGTTTTTTTTTCCGTGGCTTTCTCTTGCTTTCACTATTGCAAACTCTGACCCTGAGAGGCAAGAGTCGTGACCATTTAGTAAGATGTATCGTTGAGTATCATAAAATAGTTGGATAGTCTGCTATTTTTTTATAGTAGCAAAAATAGAATGTTCATATGCTTGCCCACGATTTTTATACATTTTTAAATTTGTCTACCACATGCCTAAATTTACCAAATTAAGTCCGTGTATATAAAACATTTGCACAAATGTTGCTCAAGTTGTCTGAAATAAAAATACATGTATTTTGCAATTTAGAGCACATGACACTAAAGATGTATAGCTCCGTTAACTCACCTTCTGAACAAATTTCAGCAAGAAATTTCAGAATGAATATAAAAAAGTTAAGAAATATTCTAATATATAGTAGCTGAAAAGTTTACAGAAGTAAAGAAGAAAGACACAAATTAGTAGATTCTGAAGAATTATCTATACGAACCCATAACTATTCTCTTTATTTTGGATATTCTATTGTTTCCTTATAATTTGTTTATAAGTTTCCTTATAAATAAACAAATTATAAGGAAACAGTGGAATATCCAAAACAGAATATGCAAGCCAATTAACAATCACCATTTTTACCAACAAAAATATTGAAAGTCAGAAAATTGTGGAATATCTTTGAAGTGCTAATAAATGATAATGGCAAATCTAGAATTTTATGTCAATTAGATTTAGAATTCAAGAGCAGATCAAAATAGAGACATCTTCAGACAATCCAAAAACTGAGAGTTTACTACCAAGAATAGTAACTTTTACAGTATGTACCATAGAATAAAGGATAATTAACTGGATGTAAATTCCAAAATATTAGAAGAAGAAAGGATGTGAAAAAACATATATAAGCAGTCACAATTTTATTTAACAAACACACCAACAATATGTGATTTGTGGGAATAAGAAAAACAACATGAATATAAAATAATGAACAATTTGTAGCAAATATTTTTAAATAATTGCAATTAAAGAGCCCTAAGACTTTGTATTGTTTGGGCTTGGTGTTAGTAAACTTTATATTTTATGTTAATAATGTTTATTAGAATATCAAAATTGCCTAGCAAAAGAAAACTGATAATGTGAATAATTTCCAAAATAAAAGAGATAAGTTACAAAAAATGTTAAAGTAAACAAATGCAAAACAAGGCAAAAAAAAAAAAAAATCAAAGTGAGAAAGACCAGCAAAGTGAATAAAAGGAAGAAAATATGACTTTAAATATAAAAAAATAAATAAATGAAAACCTAAAAAATAACATGCAAGTTGCCAAAAGAAAACGATTTACTTGACTGAATAAAGGTCGTTAAAGGATTTCTTCAGCTGGTGAGCACCAGGCAAACCTGAAGACTAGGTGGTTCCAGACTGAAGTAGGATCAGGCGTCTAACAGAAGTCTGTGGAGTATGCCTGGTTTAGGCTGGACAGATATTTTCTGCTTTAACTGAAGTTGAGTTTAGGTTTTTGGGTTCTTTTCTGTTTGTTTTTGTTTTATCTGTTTATGTTCCACTTTCAGAGTCTCATTATCCATCAGAACAATATTATATGAGAACAGTCTTTGCAGTTGATGGGCTAACCACGTTCCCTGGGTGGGGCAGGGGAAGTAGACAAGAATAGGAATGAAGTGGATGTAAAGGAAGAAGGCAAGGGGCGGGGGATTATTACCCTCTAGTATGTTTGTTTTAATCGCTTTACACGGTTACTAGTTTTCAAATTTACTAAATATTTTATATGATTCAAATCATTAACTGAGAAATTTCTTTCAAATTCAGTGCTCTTTGCAAAGTACTGGCTAGATGTTGGAATCCAAAAATGAACTGTGAAAAAAGGCCCGTGTCCTCAGGAACTTATGTTCAGAAGAAATGGAAAAACAAAATTAAATAAGTGGATAAATACATGTGTGTTGTTTTACTAAGACCTTATTTATTAAATATTTTGCTAAGCCTATAATATTAAATCAGCTATTTATATATCTCTATATAACAATGGTTCTAGAGTCAGGAGGTTAACCTTGTGGATTCCTCAGTGACCTTGAGTAATCACTCAACCAAAATACATTTGTATTTAAATACGAACATAAGTTCGAACATTACGTTGTTACCCTAGCCACTTCACAAAATACGTTCGAACACTAGGTTGTTACCCTAGACACTTCACAAAATATTTGAAAAACACATGGATAGACAATTTGATGATTCTATAAATCTGGTAAATGAATTAGAAATATTATAAAAGGTTTTTCTGAGAGGATACCATCGAGCAAAAAGAAAATGACTAGCATTTGACACTATGTAACTTTAAATCTATATTTCAGGGACCTCTGTCACTTTCTTGGGGAATTGAATCACCTATTCCTACTTAGCAGCATGAAAATGAGTTGAATCTCCAGGTTATAGCATTTGAAGGCATGCCTGAGAGGAGCAGATTCAAAAATCAACAGGTGGTTGATGTTTTCTGTGGGGAGCATTCCTGCCTCAGTCCTGCTGCTGTGACCCATTCCTAAACAGCTTTGGGGTCTACAGTCCCCCTTGGTACCTGCTGGGGATTTGTTCCAGGACCACCACCAATCCTACCACCATCATCCCTTCATAGCAAAAGCCAGAGATGCTCAAGTTTCTTATATAAAATGGCCTAGTATTTGCATATAACTTACACACACCCTCTTGTATACTTTCTATCATTTCCAGATTACTTACATTAATAATACTGAATACAATATAAATGCTATGCACATAATTGTTATAAGGATTGTTTTTTATTTGCATTGTTTTATTGTTGTATTTCTTTTTAAAAATTATTTTTGGTATTTCTTTTAACAAATATGTTTGATTCATGGTTAGTTAAATCCACCCACAATGGGGGTATGGAGGGTCAGCTGTATTCAGGAATTTGCATTAACAGACTTAAGAGCCTAGTAGATTCTTTGCTTAAATGAACTCTGTGCAGACACAGCATTCAACATTTCTATTTTGATACTTTAAGCAGACTGCAGTGTTTGACAAGCTATTTCAGTAATATGCAATAATCTTTACAAAATAGACATAGATGTTCTGTGACCCCAAATTCTCTGAAACTCTAAACTCAATTATTGAATCTATAGTGGTGTTTCTGATCAGATTACAAGATGAAGGAAGCAATGGAACTTGGCCTAATGTAATGAAAAATATTGCTATCTCTCCACTGATTATTTTGGATGATGGGAGAGCTGTATAGCCATTTATCTAAAGAGGAATCCTTTCAGGAACTACTCTGAAGTACTTTAAGAGATGGAGTTGCTGAAGAAAAAAGATTGAAAACAATTGGCTTAGCTGTTCAGAGCATGGCAAGAATGTAACTATAATCTGTCATTGTGTGGGCAGACAGATGGCCTGAAAATTGAATAAATTGGAAATCACTGGAAGGCAGCTATTTTGTCCTTGAGTGCATTAGGTATCTTGGAAAAATGTTATTAAATGGTGAACAATTGCTATCGAAAAGTTTCTAGTTGTTTGGAACATAGAGTTACATAAAGTCAAGATTCTATTATTATTCTAATAATAGATAAAATCCGAATGTAAAGAAAATGTTTCCTATGAACTATGTAATTTAATTCTTATCAGAGCAATACTTTAAACAATTATTTGATTAGCCTGTGTTTGTGAATGTATATAAAGTAAGCAATAACCTTATTTTCTCCTCTTTGTAATTTAATTCATTAGAAATTGAGAATCTCAGACTTCTCTCCAGCCCTATTAAATCTGCATCTTCATTTCCAGGTCACTCATACACTGTTTAACTTTGAGAAGCACTGTTGTATATTGTCTTGAGAGTCCACACTATGAAATAAATTGGCCCTTATTTACTCCTCAATTGAAATTCTTCAGACTTTCTTAAAGTTTCTAAATAAGTCCCAGTTAGTGGAAATGAACTGAATTTAGTTTAATTTTTTTTATCATGCATTGCTGTCCAAAAGAAGAAAGCTTATTTCTGCCAACTTCTTCTTATCCTCAACTTCCAACCACTGTCACGTCTGTCTTCTTTCTTTTTAATATTTTCAGGTGAATTAGAGGTTTGTCAACCGTAAGAATGAAATATATGGTTTATGGCCTATTTTTATGTAACTGGTCATTCTGAGATCTGGAAAACACTACCTGTGTTTATCTGCAACTAAAATCTAGACACCTGAGCCTACACTGCATAGCGAAACAGGTCACTAGAAAAACACAAGCAATTTAGAAAGGCTTTTAATATTGAACAGTTGCATTTTGTTTCTATTCATGTCTATCGCTTTCTCTTTTTTATTCTAAATTGCTTTATTATATTCTATATTTAATATTCTATCATTAACATGTCAATAACAGTCAATAATAATTGAGGACTCAGGTTTTGTCAATACACTGATTTATAATTAGTACAATATGTTATGAGTTTCCTTCGCACATTAATATTATCAGCTCTTCATTTTTTGTTGTTCACAATATATCTTCAACTACCTTTTTATTTTTAGGCAATGTACATATTACAATTTAAGAATAACATCTTCTTTGTTAAATATTTATTTCCACCCCTTTTCAGAAAATTAGATGGTTTACATTTATTGTTAGAAATAATATAAAGCTTTTCTGGTTTTGTGCTTCTAAATAATATTATTAATATATTCTTTTGTAATTACAAAAGCTCCTTGTTTTTGTTTTGTAATTCCTTTCTCAATAAAATAGAGCTGCAAATATTTTGTTCCTTTAAATATTTCAAATAAATAATTTTCATTTATAATAAAAAATATAAAATATGCCAAAGAATTTATTATTTCAAAAAATATGTCATTCACCAATTTGCTTTTAGATTTGTGAATACAGTCTCATTTTATTTTAATACTTTAATCATAGATCTTAACTTTTTTATAATTAATTTTAATTTGTATTTAACATGGTAATAATATTTTTACTTAATTTTATATTGTTGGGTTAGTAGTCACTGTTAGTACACATAACTATTTTACTTTTTCAACATGTAATTTTCATTAATCTTATTCAGATAAAGTTCATTTTCACTATTTTTCTTCAATTGGAAATATTTCATATTTTAAAGACTTCCATTCCTAACAAATGTGGAATACAACATTTTTAGCTCAAAATATTTTTCAAAACAAAACAGAATTTTTCCAGTCTTCACATATAAAACTAAAGCAACAAGCTCAAGTCTATCCAGACATTTTATACTTCAGAAACGAAAATACTAATCTTACGTGTTTATGGCGGATGTTTTTCTTATAATTTTAGTTAAAAAATATTTGTAGAAGGTTTTTATAGTAATATAGTCAGAAAATTAGTCTGCATTTTTACCTACAAATTAAGCAGTATTTTAAAAATTAGCTCAGGAAATTTTATTTTATATTGTATTTTAGTCTGCATTTGAATGATATTTAAATTCTTAGATTTTCACTTTAGATGTGGGAACTCCGGTGCTTAATTCTATCCTCTTTAATTTTATATCTGTGATTTCTTCTGCTTTGTTTTCAGTTCTATTTTTTTCCTGCACTGCAAAAGAGTTTCTAAAGATTGTATTTAATATTACAAGCTTCATTTAGTGCTCTATCATTTGGCATTTACATTTTTACATAGTTTTAAAATTATATATATTTCTTTGTATTTTTTATCTAATTTTATACAATTTTAAAAATCATGCACCTCTAATATCTATTGACTAGGTTTAGCTTTCATTTCAGAGATAACATTAATAGTGAAAAATATTATCTTAAATGCAAAGATATTCATTATTTAAAAATTGATCAATGACATTCACTAAATTATCACAGGGACGAAAACATAAAATGATCATCTGTAGAGATGCAGAAAAATAATTTGACAAAATTCAGCACTGATTTATAAGAATTATCAGCAAAATAAGAACAGAAATGAAAATTGACCAACAACCAGAAATGACAGCAACAACAAAATACCAAGTCAGTAAAGATGGAGAGAAATAGGGAAGCAGTGAAGGTAGATGTCATTTCTGTTTTTAGTGGTGGAGTACAAGGTGTTCTTGTGCTTGAAGGTCATGTTCTTGTGATAAAACGCACTGCAGAGACAACACAGTTTAATTGGCTGAGGCAGGTGACTCCCTTTAAGCATCAGGGTGGAACAAACTACACGACAAAATGTAATTTTAAAGACCACTCTCATTCAAATGTAATAATATCAAAGCACCCTTAACTCATTAATGAGTGAAACAATGAGTGTCATGGTCTGAACTGTGTTCCCCTCCCCAAACCCGTATGTTCAAGCCCTAACCCCTAGTTATACACATAAGGTAAATGAAACCTCATTTGGACACAAAGTTTTTGCAGATGTAATCAAGCTAAAATTATCTCTGTAGGTGGGACTTAAAATAACATGGGTTGTCTTTATAAGAAGAGGGAACAGAAACAGATAGGATGTGGAGAGGACCATGTGAAGAGAGAAGCTGAGACTGAAAAGGATTTATGTATTAATATTGACAGAAGCCAAGGAACACCATCTGAAGTTCTGATGGCAACATCAGAAGCTAAGAGAAAGGCATGGAAAAGATTCTCACCTAGAGCATCCAGAGGAGAGGTTGGTCCTGCAGACACCTTGTTTTCTGACCTCTGACCTCCGCAACTGTGAGGGAAGAAATTTCTGTTGCTTAAAGACACACAGCTTGTGGTACTTCATTATAGCAGCCCAAGGTAACTAATATAGATGACAAAATTGGTTCCAAGGGTGTTTGAGGAACTGGACCTTTATAGGCATTATTTTCATAATACTGCATTAAGCTATGATAACTGGACTAGATTCAAAATTGGATAATGCCCTAAATGCAATAAAGCTATAATTTTGAGATAAAATTTTAATAGCTTTATGAGATATAATTAACATCTGGTATACTGCACATTTTTGAGGTGTGAAATTTTTAAACATTAACATACGTATATACTTGTAAAACCATCACACTAGAAAGAGATCTCAAGCCTCTTCTTTTGACTTTCAACACATTGTCAATCCAGTACTAATCTGGTTTTATTACCATATATTAGCTTTTATTTTCTACAATTATATATCAGTAGAATTATAGAGTATGAATTCTTTTTGTCTTTTTTCCTTAAGCATAATATTTTTGAGATTCAACAATTTCTTGCATGTTGAAGTAGCACCTTTTTTTATTGTTACGTATTATTTCATTTCATAGACATACCACTATAATTTATTTACTAAACTCTTGACCAGAGGTTCTCAAATGAGGGACATTTTACCTGCCGGGGACATTTCCAATGTTTGGGGACACTTTTGGTTATCAGAGGTTTGTGGAGGAGGGGATAGAGTGTCCACAGGCCAGGGTTCCACAAAGGATAGCTCCCCACAACAAAGAATTAAGCCACTTCAACAGCTAATAGTGCTGAACTTGAGAACGCCGCTCTTGGTGGACAGTTGCATGGTGTCTGTTTTTGACAATAATGAATAAAGGTACTTGTGCAAGCCTTTTTACAGACTTATGCTTTTCTCCCCCCTAGGATAAATGCCTAGGGGTAGAATTGGTACATGTAAGGTAGATTTAGTTAT
Source organism: Homo sapiens (assembly GCF_000001405.40). Taxonomy (NCBI): domain Eukaryota; kingdom Metazoa; phylum Chordata; class Mammalia; order Primates; family Hominidae; genus Homo; species Homo sapiens. The sequence continues at coordinate 1,199,701 of NW_025791777.1, forward strand.
CCAAAGTAGCTGTACTGTGTTACACTCCCACCGTCGATGTATGCAAACTCTAGAGTCTGGTTTCTTGACATCTATGCCAAATATTGGTAACACAATTTTTAAAATAGTAGCTTTTCTAGTAGATGTGTATAATTATCTCATTTTATTTTTTATTACTAACGATATTAAGAAATTTTTCATTTGCTTATTTGCTATTATATCATTTTTGTGTAGCATCTGTTAGTTTTTATAGCTCTCTTGTTTCTATGTTGTACATTATATTTATATATTCTTGCTCTTATTCATAATAAATAGTATATATAATTGTGTAATTAAAAATAAACATTAAAGTATAAATATATTTACACATTTCTGTAGTTTATCATTATATAATTATTGCTTTCTGAATAAAAAGAAATGTATCCACAGTTTGGATAAAAAGAAGTGCTTTCATGTAGTTTACTAAGACATTTTCTGTGCTTTATATTTGAAGCCTATGCTTTCACTTTTACACATTGTTCCATAATATATTTTGGACTCCTTTAATTTTGAACTCATTCACGCTTTTGTTGTGAGGAAGGACTTGAGGTTTGTTTTCTTCACATTTATCTCGTAGTTCTGCACACTTTGTTAAATAAAATTATCTTTCCCCTTTGAATAACTGCAGTATCTTTGATATTATATTATTCATATAAGCATGGATCTATTTGTGAACTCTATTCCATTCCATTACTCTAATTGTTTATCCATCTACTAATAACACATTCTCTCGATGACTATAGCTTTAAGTTATTGCATGGTGTTAGGAAGTGTGAGTATTCCAACTTTTTTTTCAGCTTTCTATCATTTGTTTTTGCTCTCTTGATGTACATTTTTAAATCAGTGTGTCAATTTATATAAAAATATCTTTTGTGATTATGGTGAGGATTTCTAGAATGATTAATTTGGAAAAACCAAAACCTTTTACACACTAAAATTCACTGAACTTTCAAGCCATGATTATTGTATTAGTTTGTTCCGGCATTGCTATAGAGAAATACAGAAGATTCGACAATTTATGAAGAAAAGAGGTTTAATTGCCCCACTGTTCTGCAGGCTATACAGGAAGGATGATGCTGGCATCTACTTAGCTTCTGGGAAGACTCAGGAAACGCACAATCATGGCAGAAAGCAAAGGGGGACAGGCACGTCACATGGCCAGAACAGCAAGAGAGTGAAAGGGGAAGCTGCTACACACTTTTAAATGACCAGATCTCATGAGAACTCACTCACTCACTATTATGAGAACAGTATCAAGAGGGATGATGCTGAACCACTCATGAGAAATCCACCCCATGATCCAATCACCTCCCATCAGGCCTCACCTCTAACATTGGAGATTACATCATACCAGATTTGGGCAGGGACACACATCAAAACCATCAATTATTGTATGCGACTCCATTTATTTAGAACTTTCCTACATCTCCCAACACTTTTGCTAGTTTCCTATTTAGAGAGATCTTGCATGTAATTTGTTAAAATCATATATACATATTTTATTTTTATTAGTATTTTACATGGATTTGATTTTTATCATTAATTGCTCATTGGAAATATATAGAAATAAGTTAATGGGTTGACTTATTTTTTCTATGATGTGGCTAAAATTACTAGTTTATTCCAGCAGCTGATTTTTACAGTCACTAGAAGTTTATGTGTAGGTAATGGAGTTGTTTAAAAATTTAGAATTGTATTTTTCATTTCTTAACTGTGTATGTTTTACTTATTTATTTGATTTGTCTCACTGGTTAATTCCTCCCATACAGTAGAGAGAACAATAGTGAAAGAGGACACTTTGTCTTCTTCTGGATCTTAAATGAATAATTTATTAGTTCAAACTTCAGTGTGATATTTCCGTAGATGCCTTCTATTTGCTTAAGGATGCTTCTTTGTATTCTATTGGGGCGAGATATTTTTATTATAATTCTATCTTGAAAATGCCAAATGTTTTTTCTGCCTCAGAGGAAGTTTATATATTTTTTTCATTTTACTCAGTTAATGTGGTGAGTTTGAAAATTCAAATACTTGAAAAATCACGTTCCCATCAAACACTGCTTCTTACTGTGCCTTTCTAAGAGGACTACCTTCAACTTGGGCATTTAGAGGATACTTCCCTTCCTATAGCTCAGGGTTTTTTTGTATTTTTTTTATGTTTAAATTTTAGTGATATTTCTTTTATGTGTTTTTAAAATATTTTATGGGCTACTGCATTGACCCATTTGTTTCAACTTTACAGCTCTAGTTAAATATAAAAATTAATAAAATGTCAACACTCAAGTATTACATATATCCCTTGATCTGGTGATTTAGGACTATGAGAAAAATGCTCAATTTCCCTCGATAGAAGGAAGTATGAACTTTTTTATTTATTTATTACTGTAGTCTCACAGCCTAAAAATCAGTAGGTCTCCACTGGTCAGCAAGCAAATGATCATGATTGTTTTTCTGAATTTTTGACAATTTCAGAATAGGCAAGAAAGCTAAGTTTTAAAAATAAAATGCCAACATCAAGAATTTAAAATCAAATTCGTCACAGTGAATCCCAACAGGAAATAGTTCTTCATTTTATGATTACTCAGAGATTTTGCTTGTTGTAGTGGTCTTCCTTCTGGCTCATAATTTTTTGCTACTCTGCAGCAGAAATAATAAGAAATATTTTCCCAGTCCACAGCGGTGAAGGAGAAGAAAACTATAAATCAAAAGTAGCATATTCTGTGGATCATTTATTGAAATAAACACAGTGAGTACAAGATGGGTAATCTATTTGCATAATCAAAGACACCCTTCATCTGTGTCTATTTTTCTCTTTTCTTTTCTTTTCTTTTTTTTTTTTTTTTTTGAGACAGAGTCTCACTCTGTTACCCAGGTTGGAGTGCAGTGGCATGATCTTGTCTCACTGCAGACTCCGCCTCTCGGGTTCCAGCAATCTTCCTGCCACAGCTTCCTGAGTAGCTGGCATTACAAGGTATGGGCCACCATGCCCGGCTAATTTTTGTATTTTTATTAGAGATGGGGTTTCGCTATGTTGGCCAGACTGGTCTTGAACTCCTGGCCTCAAGTGATCTGCCCGCCTCAGCCTACCAAAGTGCTGGGTTACAGGCATGAGCGACTTGCCTGGCTATGTCTATTTTTAACATAGTTATAGTGAACTATAATTATTTTTACATAAAAACTATTCTTACAAATGTTATATGTATTTTAAGAGCATACAAACTTACAGGTTTTTTTATTTAATAAAAACCAGTGGCAGATTGATAATGCAGAATATATTATTTGTAAAAAATCATTTGTTGTCATACAAACATATATTTTATTTGAAAATTATACTTTTGAATAGCTTTTTGGAAAGTTAAAGTATTCTCATTTATTGCATACATTTGTCACCAAAATTATACGAAAGAGTGTTTGATTCAAAATGTGTGTGTGTGTGTGTGTGTTCCTATATAGGACCCAGATAACACATATATATTAAATAAATAAATACATGTATATATATATATCATGCACACACATTTAAATATAATGTAAATGTGTGTGTGTGTGTGTGTGTGTGTGTGTATGTGTATGTGTATGCAGATGCCCCTCTGGAAACAAATTTAAAAAGAATCCCCTCTTTTGAGTGTATAAAGAAGTTCCTTTCTTAAGGAATGGATAACAGGGGTTGGTACTTTGGCTGAATTCCTCTTCCTCTTACTTTCATTAGACTTGGCACTGTTGCATAGAACACAATTTTCCAAAATGTAATGTCTGTGTTATGCCTACAAATGTACCATACATAACAATTTGTCATTTTCTGTAATTACATACTGACCTATTTAACATTTATCTAACCACTTATATATCTTAATCAAAATAAATCAACCCATGTAAATTGTTTATTTCTATTGTCTTTCTCAGTATAATGCACAAGATACCTTTCTATCTCTATATGTATTTGTCATTTTCATGTCTGTCCCTACATGAGTTGACTCTATTTTTCTGTTACATAGATATGTGATGTTAGTACAATATATGTTAACTAAAAATGGATGATGCAACCTTTTAAAATTATGACCATCGCAGTGAAAATTATGTCTCTAAAATATCAGGGGCTTAGGTATTTTCAGATTAAATTAGGAAAAATAGAGTATCTTTCCATTTATTTATGTGGGCAAATTTCCCATTTGTTCACATTAAATCTTTTAATGGCATATTGCCTAAATCTTTCTCAGAAAAGCTTAGCCAAATTGCCTAGGATGTTTCCTTTCTCCCATATTACCATCACTGTATACCATCATATTTCTAATAATTTTAATTTTGGAACATGAAAATGGTATTTCAATTTAAATGCGTATGTTTTTCTATTTGCAAAGAGATTAAACATCTCTTCAAGTTTTTAAACTATATGCAGCCCTTCTTTTCTGCTATACCTGTTCATTTCCTCAAGCTATTTTTCCATCAGACAGTTTCATGTTTTCTCATTGATTTGAAGCTTCTATTAAAGTATTGTATACACATGGGTAAATGCACATAAGTTTAAAGCTTAGTGAGTTTTAAAATACTATGATCATCCAGAATAAGAAAATGTAATAGTCACACACCTGATTTCCACCCATCCCTCCTAACATAACACTATTCTAACTTTTACCAGTAAGGAATCAAATAGTGTGTGTAGTGTTTTGAACCACATTTTTTTGCTTAATATTATATTTGTGAGACGAATTGACTATATGACCTGCAAATGAAACTATTTATATTTATTTCTCTAATATTTTATTAGGTGATCATATTACAACTTATTTGTTTACTGTACTCTTTATAAGTATTTTAGTCCACTTTTGGGCCACAGTTTGGGGTTATTTTGGTGTTATTCTGAAAAGTGTTTTCATGAGTACACATTTTTTTTAGCTATATATATGCATGCATTTCTGGAGAAACCATCTTTACAAGTAGAATTTTGGGGCCTAATACATATCTTTATCCAAATTATTTGAACTAAGTTATGCCAATAACATCAATTTGAGTGTTCTAATTAGTCAACATTCTCATCAATACTTTGCACTTTCTCTTCAACTTAGAATTCTAAAATATTCCTTTCAAATTCAGGATTCTGAATGACAAGTACTTACATCTCATTGTGGTTTGAATTATTTTTTCAGGTAACCAATATAAATAAAAACCTTTTAATAAGTTCATTGGTTATTTGAATATTTTATTTTTGAAGTGTCTAAAATATTTTCTTTCTAATCCAGTCCAGTTATTTTTCTGTGGTTTGCTTCTTGTTGTCTTATTGAGTTCATTGCCTTTTTAATATTCTTTTCCGGTTAACATTTCCCCCTCATTGATCTGAAATGTTTTCATTATATACCACCTTTCCATATCTGTCAATGTCTTGATTTTCTATATGATCTTCATCTATCTGTAGTTATAACTCATTTTAATCATAGAAGCTTTAAGAATTGCTTAATATTTTGTATTGACTCCAAATTCCATTGATTTTATAGGATATTTCTAGCTATTCTTGCTTCTTTATTCCTCCAAGTAAATTTGTCTATTTTTCTAAATCTGGAAAAAGAAATTCTAGAAAATGTCGTTTTGTTATGACACAGAAGATATAAGTTTATTTAAAGAACTGGCACATTTATGATTTTAAGGCTTTTTCAAGAGCATGGAATTTCTTTCCCCGTGCTCAAGTCCAAATTTGTGCCATTCAGAAGTGTTTTCTAGTTTTTTTTATATATAGGTTTTAAACATTTCTGGTTAAGTTTATGCCCTCACATTTTATTTTAGTTTGGTTAATGACGTTTTACATGTGTGAGTTCCCTCAATTATTTCTTTTAAATGTTCTGATTCAATAGGAACACTCTCCTTAGTATCCTTAACAGAAATGATTCTTGTTTATAGAATTGCTAAATAAGTAAAGAAATTTTAAGTTAAATCATGGCAAGGAGTTATAATTATACTAAGCTTTTTTGTTCCTAGAGGTTTTGGCTCACTCATATGGTAATCTATATGAAAATTTTTCTGTGATATCTAATATTAGAAAGATCCTCAGTGATAGAATAGTGTTTCTTCCTAGCTGATTCATACATCTTTCTCTGCCAACATTTTGTTTGTTGAAGTGTTCCCCAACATATGACTCATTGCTTACTAAATCCCTATTGAGCAGCCAAAGCCCTGGTGACTAATTATGTCATTAATTTGGGAAAGTCAGAGACAATAAGACTGTCAGTTGAAACTTTGTAGGAGGTAAAAAAGTCACTGCTGTCAGCTGCAAAGATCCTTAAAACGGTCTTCAGTAAAGTCAAATTTTGTGACAAGAATTATTGCATCAAAGTCGGGGAAATACCTCTTAGATCAAATAAGATACATTGAAAAGCCAAAAATTATTTTTATCTCACTTTGGGTTCTCATAAGGTCTACCCACTGTTACTTGGATATGAGACTTAACAAATGGAAAAGAAGACAGGGGTACTGTCACACTGTATTTTCCTACGGCCTAATGACCACAATGGTTGATGAACTGCAGTAAAGTTTCTATAATATTTTCCATCTATTCATTTGCTCAATCACCTTGTAATGGTTATGTTGGTTAATTCCAGTCTTTCATGGGTAAGCAACAAAATGAGACTTAATTTGAAATATCCAGTATTTTTCTATTCTTACAAATAATTTTCAGGATCAATGCACTGAGGATTAGGAATGGCAATGTGTATTACTACTCTGATACCAACTATATCCAATCTAATGTTGGAATTTGTTTGACAAAGTGTTGTGTATTTGAAAACAGGCAGCACTGAATAAAAAGAATATGGGCAAAAGAAAAATGGAAGTGTTTTGAATAGAAGTCTAAAATATTTATTGATCAATGCTGAACTGAGTAAGCAGGAGATGCCTGTACATAAATGACATTATCCTGATCTAGTAACAGGGAGAAGCAGAATATCTGAAAGCTGTTTATTAATTTGATAATAATAAGATTAGAAACATGCAAATCAAGATTAATAGTATTCACTTCTAATTGGGTTTAGGTAGACTTTGACTATTTTGCTTCTGATGTTCTTATATTTTTAATTTTCTATAATGATCATATAACATATAATATTTTCATAATATTAAACATTTTAGAATTAAACTCCATTAGAGTGTGTCTTTCCTAAAGTAATATAAACATCCAATCTTGTCCTTAACAATTCTGTTCTCAAACATTAGCCTATTCCCTCAAGCCAGTGTTGCTTTCGACCCATATTGTCCATCATTTCAATTTATCTCAAAGTTTTTTATTGCAACAATTAAATGCTTTGAATGATACCCAAGGCATAGTTCTATTTCAACAAAATTTCAAAGTTAATAGTTACATCAAATTTTGTTGGTGCTCATTGAATTTGGTTATTAAAACCATAAGTAGTATGTTTTATGCTGACTGAGGGAGATAAAAGTAGTAATGTTTAATATTCAAACTGTGATGACTGAAAAAAAAAAATGAGGCCTGTAAAATCTTATTTAATGTCAAATTTTAATTAAACAGGCTTAGCAGACCAAAATTAAAATCTCAATTATTTTTAAATTATTAATGACAGACAACTAGATTGAGTGAACACTGGCATCTCTTTTCAAATAACTTAGTTTAGTGGATGAGTTAAACATAAACTAGTTATTATAATGCAGCGAAGTATGTGAAAAATTTAATTTGAACCCTACTTAGCTTAAAATCCTGACATTCTAGGATGCAAGTCCTGCAAACTTTCCATATGTAATCAACAATTTTCTAAACATGCATGCTGTATCTCTCCTGTGTGACTTTGCATACATCATTCCCACATTCTAGATCATCCCGACCCACCTTAAGTGACTGCTTTTGCACAATCTCCCTTAAAATTCTAACTCAAGCACTGCATCTTTTGAGTCCTTCCCTAACATCTTAACATCTTCCTTCTTTCATTCATCATTAACTATAGTTAGTTATTATAGCACCTGTTAGCACTGTAAAATTATGTGTGTTACACAAGTACAACATGCAGACTAAGGTCGTGTATTACCTAGCCTCATACCAGCGTCACCTAGAACAGCAAAAATGTATGCAGATTAATCACAATATATTTGGATGTACAAAACATATTGAGAGCAAAATATGATGGAAATTTAGGTGATGCTCTTTGAGCATTGCTTCCATTTTCCAATAATGTAACCAGGAATCACTGTTCATGTAATTAAAGAACAATAAGTCTATGTGAATCAAAATATACATATACATGCAAATGTTAAACCTCAGTAGGAAGAGGCCCATTCTCTTGCTTGCTGATATATATATATATATATATATATATACACACACACACACACACACACACACACACACATATGTATGTTGTGTGTATATGTATATACACACAACAATCTATAGGCTTGCCTTTTAAAATAGTATAAGCAACAAATTTTAAGAGAAACAATAATGAGTGTGTAAAACATTAGATATGTGTATGTACCTTTGCTATTATTTGTGGAAATGGGGCTATAAAATAAGCTCCTTTATTTTCTTTTGTAAAACATTTCTTTAATATGAAGTAATGCAATACGTATTTATGTTCTAAGTGTTAATTTCCTTGGATATAAAATAATATCTTGTTCCTTTGATTCTCTTACATATAAGTGTATTTACTCAGATATTACTCCAAATACACCAGATATATTCAAAGTTGAAAAAATATATACTTTGGAATGTATTATCACCTTATGTCACATGAAGAAATCAAAATCTCTGGCATCCAAGTGCATTCCAGCCTGAAAAAAATTATGCAATTGTGAATTTAACAGAAAGCAAATTGCTCACATATGGAGTCAACGTGAAGCTATATCAATATTTATTAAAAGTTTATATATTACTTTTGATCCCCTGGAGAGAAATACAAAATTCAAATAATTATTCTATTTTTATATCCCAATTTGTAATTATGAAACTCTAGCATTTTAATTTTTCTCTTTCAAGTTTACCTGAAGCTTCACAAAATTCTGTGAGGAATCTATTATAACAGGTATTTTGCTTATTTCCACACAAACAGAAGGAAATGTGTATTTTCTATGCCCTGAAGAATTTACTCTTTTCTGTAAATGACATATGGTAGTTAATTCTTTTTGGTAATAAAATATTCCTGTTTTTAGGCCGAACAGCCTTTTCATTTAAATTCAGGGCAACATATCAAAGCTTTGCCGTAATAATACAGAGTAATCGACTAAAGTAATATAGAATTTAAATAACAAAGAGTTTAAACAATTTAATATGTCTTCTATTAATTTCAAACTGAAATTTTACAGAAATTATTTGGAATATGCTGCCAGAGTACACACACACACACACACACACACACACACACACATCACACGCTCACATCACACACTCACACCCAGCTAAAGGAAATTACCACAGCTATAATGATTTCATTAAATATCTGAAATTAAAGTTTCTTTTGGATTTTCAGCTGAAGCTCATAGTAAATAAAAGTAATATGATCATTGTTGCATACTGTGAATCAACAGCACCCAGAAACCTTCGACTTTCTATATTTACACAGCTTAATTATCCGAACTGAAACCTGAGGCCATCTGTGTCAACATGATTTCACAATTCATTCCAGAAAATTATTTTTCAGGAAAGTAAGGCTGCAAACCAATAAATAACTTATTGTTTGCTTCAGGAAATTTCTGCAAATCAATTTATGTCAGTAAGCAACTCTCCTCTGGGCCAACAGATTGCTCACCTGGGCAGGTAGCAGCTTGTGTCAATTAACAGTTTACTTATGAAGACTTCTGTCATGGCCCTTAACTCACAGTGTCCCCCAATCCTAAACTCTATGTCCTGAACATTACCTATTCTTATCAGTCATTGGTCTTGAAAGGCCCCGGGCAACCATTTGAGCCCAGACTTCAATACTCTATCAATACCACCTTATCATCTACTTTTCTAACATGACCCCTCAAGGTGGTGACCCCACTTACAGTCGTCTTTTATTGAATTTAGCTTTCCCTAATCAACATGCTAGTCTATTGGATGCAGTGTCAGAGGCAAAAATCACAGAGGTTCTGAAAGCATCAGCCCATGGTTTTCTAAACATCATGGTTCAAGACCCTTAACACGAAACAGAAAGTTTCCCCGAGGCGCCGTAAACAACCCATTTGGGCGCTTCCCTGATAATTATAGTGAAATCTGGCATCTAATTTTTTTTGGTGGACTCTCAAATTTTATATTTATGTTTTGATTCCTAGAAATAAAAAATGTTTTTATAAGGAATTCTTTGATCGTTTATGTTTTATTCTTGATAGAAACCTACTACTTTATAACTTCGTTTATGTTTTACTCTTGATAGAAACCTACTACTTTATAACTTCGAACATTATTGATGTTCTTCCTGTATTTCTGAGAGGTGACAGCTTGCTGGCATCCCTCGCTGGCTCTCGGCGCCTCCTCGGCCTCAGCCCACTCTGGCCGCGCTTGAGGAGCCCTTCAGCCCGCAGCTGCACCGTGGGAGCCCCTCTCTGTGCTGGCTGAGGCCTGAGCGGGCTCCCTCTGCTGGCGGGGAGGTGTGGAGGGAGAGGCGCGGGCCGGAACCTGGGCTGCCTGCGGTGCTCGCAGGTCCAGCGCGACTTCCGGGTGGGCGCGGGCTCAGCGCGACTTCCGGGTGGGCGCGGGCTCGGCGCGCCCCGCACTCTTGAGCGGTCGGCTGGCGCCGCCGGCCCTGGGCAGTGAGAGGCTTAGCACCCGGGCCAGCAGCTGCGGAGGGTGCACTGGGTCCTCCAACAGTGATGGCCCGCCGGCGCCGCGCTCGAATTTTCGCTGGGCCTCAGCCACCTCCCCGCGGGGCAAGGGGGCAGGGCTCGGGACCTGCAGCCTGCCATGCTGGAGCCCTCACCCTCCTCCCCGCCCCCGTCCCCTGCCCCCCGCCCCCCGCCCCCCAACCGCAGGCTCCCGCGCGCCACCCCGAGGGGACGGGCGCCACCTCCTGCTACGCGGCACCCGGTCCCGTCAACCGCCCAACGGCTGAGGAGTGCGGCAGCGCGCCAGAGACTGGCGGGCAGCTCCGCCCGCGGCCGGGATGCACTAGGCAAAGCCAGCTGGGCTCCTGAGTCCGGTGGGTACTTGGAGAACTTACTACGTCTAGCTGGAGGATTGTAAATGCACCAATCAGCATGCTGTGTCTAGCTCAAGGTATGTGAACGCACTAATCAGTGCTCTGTGTCTAGCTAATCTGGTGGGGACTTGGAGAACTTTTGTGTCTAGCTAAAGGATTGTAAACAGACCAAGCAGCTCTCTGTAAAATGAACCCATCAGCTCTCTATGAAATGGACCGATCATCAGGATGTGGGTGGGGTGAGATAAGGGAATAAAAGCAGCTGCCAGAGCCAGCAACAGCAACGTGCTAGGGTCCCTTTCCACAGTGTGGAGGCTTTGTTCTTTTGCTCTTTGCAGTCTTGCTGCTGCTCACTGTTTGGCTCTGCGCAGAGCTGTAACACTCACCAAGAAGGTCTGCAGCTTCACCCAAAGATATTCCAAAGATACAGAAAACTATATAGAGACATTTTGTATAGTTCTAATAGCATATAATCCACAGGTCCCTGATCTATAATATGGGTTTTTTATAAAATTGTTTTTTTGTATGCTATGAGGAATTTTACTTGTTAAAAAGAAGAGGTGGAAAGGCAGAATATGAAAACTATGAAAATGACATAAGAGACTATGAATTAGGTGAGAAACCAGAGAGGTTTAGAAACCTGTAGACATTGTGCATCCCCCAATGCCTTTCCCCTTAAAAAAATTATATTCTAATCCAGTCCATCAAATAAAGTCTACGTTCATTAGAAACATATTCTCTTGGTTTTTATAATTTCAGTTTTTTTCAGACACAGATAGTGCATATGCAGATTTGTTACTTTTGTACAGTGCACCCTGGTAGTGAGCATAGTACCCAGTAGGTAGTTATTCAGCCCATGCTCCCCTCTTTCCCCCACCCCCGTAGCCTGCAGCATGTCTTGTTCCCATGTTAATGTTCCTGTGTGCTCAGTGTTTAGGTTCCACTTATAAGTGAGAATGTGTGGTATCTGGTTTTCTTTTCCAGCACTAATTTGCTTAGGATTATGTCCTTAGCTCCATCCATGTTGCTGCAAAGGACATAATTTCATTCTTTTTTATGGAGGCATAGTATTCCATAGTGTATATGTACCACATTTTCTTTATCCAATCCACCTTTGATGGGCACCTAGGTTCATTCCATGTCTGTGCTATTGTGAATAACATGCTGATGAACGTACGAGTGCATGTATATTTTTCTGGTAGAATAATTTATTTTCCTTTGAATATATACCCAGTAATGGGAATGCTGGGTCGAAGGGTATCTCTGTTTTAAGTTCTTAGAGAAATCTCCAAAATACTTTCCACAGTACCTGAACCAGTTTACATTTCCATCAACAGTAGTGTATAAGCATTCCCTTTACTCTGCAGCCTGGCCAACATCTAATTTTTTTACTTTTTAATTATAGCTGTTGTGACTGATGTGAGATGGCATCTTACTGTGGTTTTTGCTTGCATTTATTTATTTGATGATTAGTAAGGATGAGTGTTTTTTCATATACTTGAGTGTCTTCTTTTGAGAAAATATCTGTTCATGTCCTTTGCCTTTTCTTGATTTAAATTTTAAGTTCTGGGGTACATGTGCAGGAAGCGCAGTTTTGTTACATAGATAAACGTGTGTGGTGGTGGTTTGCTGGCACCTATCAACCCATCACCTAGGTATTAAGCCCAGCATGCATTAGCTATTTTTCCTGATGCTCTCCCTCTCCTCAACCCCCTACAGAAAATTATAGTGTGTGTTGTGTGTTGTTCCCCATTGTGTGTTGTTCCCCTCCCTGTGTCCATGTGTTCCCATTGTTCAGCTCCCACTTATAAGTGAGAAGATGCGGAGTTTGATTTTCTGCTCCTGTATTAGCTTTGCCCTTTTTAACTGGGGTTGTTTTATGCTTGTCATTTTTTCTTCCTTATGGATTTGTTATATTAGATCTTTATCAGATGCATAGTTTGCAAATATTTTCTCCCATTCTGTAAGTTGTCTGTTTACTCTGTGGATAGTTTCTATTGCTGTGCAGAAGCTTTTTAGTTTGATTGACTTTCACTTGTCAATTTCGTTTTTGTTGCAATTGTTTTTAGAAACTTAGCCAAAAATTATTTGCCAAGGCCAATGTCGAGAAAAATATTTCCTAGGTTTTGTTTTAGAGTTTTCATAATCTGAAGTCTTACATTTTAACCTTTAATCCATCTTGAATTAATTTGTGTGTATGGTGGAAGGTAAGCATCCAGTTTCACTCTTCTGCTTATGGCTAGCGAATTATCCCAGCACCATTTATTGAATAGGGTGCCTTTTCCCCATTGTTTGTTTTTGTTGGCCTTGTCCACGATCCAGATGGTGGTAAGTGTGCAGCTTTATTTTTGAGTGTTCTATTCTGTTCCATTGGCTTAAGTGTCTGCTTTTGTAACAGTATCATGGTTAGTGTACACTTATAGTATAGCTGGAAATTGGGTAGTATGACGCCTCTCTGGCTTTATTATTTTTGCTCAGAATTGCTTTGGCCATTCTGGCTTTTGGGGGTGTTCCATATAAATTTAGAATAGTTTTTTCTAATTCTGTGAAGAATGATGTTGGTAGTTTCATGGAGATAGCCTTGAATCTACAAGTTGCTTTGGGCAGTGTGGCCATTTTAACATATTGATTCTTTTAATCTGTAAACATGGAATGTTATTCCATTTATTTGTGTTATCAAAATCTCCTTCCTTCCTTCCTTCCTTCCTTCCTTCCTTCCTTCCCTCCCTCCCTCCCTCCCTTCCTCCCTTCCTTCCCTCCCTCCCTCCCTTCCTCCCTTCCTTCCATCCTTCCTTCCTTCCTTTTCTTATTTCCTTCCTTTTTTGAGACAGAGTCTCACCCTTTCACCCAGGCTGGAATGCAGTGGAGTTATTATAGCTCACTGCAGGCTTGAACTCCTGGCCTCAAGCCGTCAGGGTAGTTAGGACTACAGGCATGTGCCACCATGCCTCGCTATTTAAAAAAAAAAAAAAAATTTGTATAGATGAGGTTCCACTATGTTGCCTAGGTTGGTCTCAAAACTCCTGGGTCCAAGCGATATACCTGCCTCGGCCTCCCAAAGGCATGAACCACTGCATCCAGCTTCAGATTTCAGCTGTGTTTTGTAATTCTCCTTGTGGAGATCGTTCACATCTTAGGTTAGTTGTATTTGCAGGGATTTTATTTTCATCCTAGGTGTTGTAAATATGATTGTGTTCTTAATTTAACTCTCAACCTGGATGTTGTTGTTGTATAGAAATGCTACTAATTGTTGTACATTGATTTTGTATCCTGAAACCTTGCTAAAATCCTTTATCATTTCTAGTAGACTTTTGTTGAAGTCTTTAAGCTTTTTTAGGTATAGAAGGATATTGTTGGGTGAAGACAGATAGTTTGCCTTAATCTTTACTTCCTATTTGGGTGCTTTTCTCTTTTTCTGTTGCAAGATTGCTCTGACTAGGATTTCTGGTACTATGTTGAATAGGAGTGGTAAGAGTGGATGTCCTTGGCTTGTTTCATTTCTAAAGGAGAATGCTTTCAGCTTTTGCCCATTGAGTATTATATTGGCTGTGGGTTTGTTGTAGATAGCTCTTTTTTATTTTGAAGTATGCTTATTTGAAGCCTCAACTGTTGAGGGTTTTTTTTTGTTTTGTTTTTTCATGAAGGGACACTGGATTTAATTGAAAGCTTTTCCGGCATCCGTTGAGATGATCATATGGTTTTTGATTTAATTCTGTTTATCTGGTGAATCACATTTATTGATTTGCATATGTTGAACCAGCCATGCATCCCAGGAATAAAGCCTGTATTGTCATAGTAGATTAATTTTTTGATATGCTGCTGATGGATTCAGTTTGCTAGTACTTTGTTGAGAATTTTTGAGTCTATGTTCGTCAACAGTGGTCACCTGAATGTTCTTTTTTTTTGCGTCTCTGCCAGGTTTTGGTATTAAGCTGCTTCTGGCTTCACAGCGTGAGTTAGGAAGGAGTACGTTCTCTTCAACTTTTCTGGAATAGTTTCAGTAGAATTGTACTAGTTCTTCGTTATACTTCCGGTAGAATTTTGCTGTGAATCCATATAGTCCAGGGCTTTTTGGCTTGGTAGATTTTTTATTACTTATTCAATTTCAGAGCTTCATATTGGTCTCTTCAGTATTTCAGTATCTTCCTGATTCAATCTTGGAAGATTGCCTGTTTTCAGAAATTTATCCATTTCCTCTAGATTTTCTAATTTTTGTGTCTAGAGTTATTCCTAGTATTCTCTGAGGATTATTTTGTATGTCTGTGGGACCATTTTTAATGTCGTTTTTGTCATTCTGATTTATATATTTAGATCTTCTCTTTTTTTTCTTTGTTTATCTAGCTAAAGGTCTATCAATCTCTTTTTTTAAATCAACTCTTGGTTTCATTAATCTTTTGTATGGATTTTTGCATCTCAATTTCATTCAGATCTTCTCTATTTTAGTTGTTTCTTTTCATTCCTAGCGTTGATGTAGGGTTGTTCTTTTTTTTTTCTTCCCTAGTTCCTTTAGGTGTAGTGTTAGATTGTTAATTTGAAGTATTTCTAACTTTATGATAAAGGCATTTAAACGTTCCTCTTAACACTGATTTAGCTGCATCCCAGAGATTTTGGTAATTTGTGTTCCCATTTTCATTAATTTCACTTTCTTAAAATTTCTCCCTTAATTTTGATTTTCACACAGAAGTTATTCAGGAGAAAGTTGTTTAATTTTCATCTATTTGTGTAGTGTTGAGAGATGTTGGTATTTATTTATATTTTGATTACATTGAGATCTAAGAGTGTGCTTGATATGATTTCATTTTTTAAAATTTATCCAGACTTGCTTTATGACCAAGCATGTGGTCAATGTTAGAATATGTTCCCTGTGCAGATGAGAAGAATGTATATTCTGTGGTTATTGAGTGGAGTGTTCTGTAGATGTCTTATTAGGTCCAGATGGTCAAGGGTGAAGTTTAAGTACACAGTTTCTTCCTTAGTTATCTGCTTTGATGATCCAGTGCTGCCAGCGGGGGTGTTGAAGTCTCCTACAGTTATTGGGTGGTCGTCTGTCTTTTTGTAGTCCAAAAAGAACTTGTTTTATGAATCTGGGTGCTCCATGTTGGGTGCATTTATATTTAGGGTACTTAAGTATTCTTGTTTGATCATATACTTTCTCATGACGTAATGCTCTTCATTCTTCAATTGTTCTTTTTAATTTTGATTAAAGTCTGTTTTATCTGATATAAGAATAGTTACTCCTGCTTTTTTGTTATCATTTGCATGGCAGATTTTCTCCATCCCCTTATTTTGGGCCAGTGGCTGTCATTACATATGAGGTGAGTCTCTTGAAGACTGCAGATGGTGAGCCTTGCATTTTTATCCAGTTTGCCATTGTATGTCATTTAAGTGGGGGTGTTTAGCCTATTTACATTTATGGTTAATGTTGATACATGAGATTTTGATCCTATCATCACGTTTGTAGCTGGTTTTTAGGTAGACTTGATTGTGTAGATACTTTATAGTGCCTGTGAGCTATGTACTTAAGTGGGTTTTTGTGGTAGCAGGTGTCATTCTTTTTACTCAATGTATAGCACTCCCTTAAGGACCTTTCATAAGGCTGGTCAAGTTGAAATTGATTCCCTCAGTATTTGCTTATCTGAGGAGAAATTTGTTTCTTCTTCACTTAGGAAGTTTAGTTTAGTGAAATATAAAATTATTGCCTGGAATTTATTTTCATTAATGATGTTGGACATAGGCCCTTAATCTCTTCTGGCTTGTAAGGTTTTTGCTGAGATATTTACTACTAGCCTAGTGGAGTTCTTGCTTTATGAAAACATGACCTTTCTCTCTAGCTGCCTTTAAGATTTTTTTTTTCTTTTGTATTTACTTTGGTGAATATGATG
Organism: Homo sapiens; assembly: GCF_000001405.40. Classification (NCBI taxonomy): domain Eukaryota; kingdom Metazoa; phylum Chordata; class Mammalia; order Primates; family Hominidae; genus Homo; species Homo sapiens. The sequence continues at coordinate 1,216,706 of NW_025791777.1, forward strand.
ACTGTGTGCCTTAGGGATAGTCACCTTTTATAGTGCCTAGCTGGGTTTGCTGTATTTTTTGGATTTACATGTCACTCTCTCTAGCGAGGTTAGGAAAATTTTCATAGACTCTATTCTCAAATCTATTTTCCAAGTTGCCTTTTCTCTTTGTTTCTCTTCTAGGAATGACAATGAGTCGTAGATTTGGTCTCTTTATATAATTCCATATTTCTTAAAGCTTTGGTTCATTTTCTTTTTTTAATTCTTTTTTAAAATTTTCTTTTGACTCAGTTGATTCAACGAACCAGTCTTTGAGCTCTGAGATTCTTTCCTTAGCTTGGCCTACCTTCTGTTAATATTTCTTACTGTATTATAAAATTCTTATACTGAATTTTTTCTGCTCTAGAAATTCAGTGTGGCTGTTGTTTAAAATGGCAATTTCATCTTTCAGCACTTACTTAGATTGCTTTACTGGATTACTTGGCTAGGGTTTCAACTTTCTCCTTAATGTTCATGAGCTTCCCTGCCATCGAGGTTCTGTATTCTATGTCTGTTGCAATTATTTTAGACTGATTAAGAACCATTGCTTGGTAGCTAGTGGGCTAATTTTGAGGTAAGAGGACACTCTAGCTTTTTGAATTGCCAGAGTTCTTGCACTGATTTTTTCTCTTCTGGTAGGGTTAGTGTTCCTTTAACTGTAGTGTATGTTGAGTATAGGCAATTGGTTTTGTTTCTGGATGCTTTCAAAGGGTCAGGGCTTTCTCTGTCCAGGATTTTTATGTATGAGTAATTCTTGTGTTTGGTTTCACAGGTGTATATGTAGCAGGATAAATTTTGATGTTGTAGTTTGGGATGTGATCCAATGCATAGTGCTTAAGAGTGATGGCCAGTGGCTAGCCTAATACCCAGTGGCATGGCTGTTTTATACTTCCTTTTGTTTGCAGGTGTGCTCTATAGTGGGGGTGGGAGAGATGCCTCCATCACCAGATGTGCTCCTGGGCCCTGGGGGAGTCTCCTGCAATCACTGTGTTTCTTGTGTTAGGTGTTCTAGGCCACAGGTCTCTCTCAGGCAGAGGCCCTTTCCTAGGAGCCATTCTGGGGAACTAGCTGTAGTGTTTGGGTTCCCTGCACAGGCTTCCTCCCTCTTCAGCTCAGCTTCATTGCTGCCTCTGCATCCACTCAGCATTTTCTCTCTCAAGATCTGCCTAAATTACGGTGGTTTACTCCATAATTTGGTATCTCTCAGTGGGGGTGGTGCTTCCTGACCATGTCAAATTGACCATGTATTGTCACAGAATGAAAACCTCTTTGATAGACTTTGTAACATTTTTGAATATTACATTCAGGAGTAAAATCTTACGCAGTGTGATCCCAGCTATCTCTTCACTTTTGAGAATAACCTTAAGTAATTAAAGGATAATTAAATATGTAATTAAAAATTGAAAAATATAACAGCTACACTTCCAGATGTCAACTTCTTTCAGAAAATTTTAAAATCTCTTTAAAGAAAGGTAAATTGAGACCAAAATAGATTAATAGCTTTATAAAAATAAGTGCTCAAGGAGGGTGTTACATGTGAAAATTAAACTTGGAATTTGTCATTTTACCCGTAAAATTACTGAGAGTAATTTCCTTGAAATGGAAATAACTTTACAAATTTTTAATTAACAAAAATGCTGAAATATTACTCCGCTTACCTTTATGTAACCTCTTCCTTGAAAACAACAATTTACTCATCTGGTGTGTGACTCTGATAACCTTCAATCATTCTCTATATCTGACACCATGACTAGTAACTTAGATCTTTAACTAAGCAACCTTTCTTTCCACCTTTGTGATATTATATCTAGTAATTTAATAACAGACAATCTATGTTGCAAATTAAACTTCCAAATTGAATAGTAATTTTCAAATCCCAAGGACCCATTTCTTCTGCCTCAATCTTAATTAGGTCTTAGTTAATAGAAAAATTAACTGGCTGGGTGCGGTGGCTCATGCCTGTAATCCCAGCACTTTGGGAGGCCAAGGTGGGCGGATCACCTGAGGTCTGAAGTTCGAGACCATCCTGGCCAACATGGTGAAACCCCATGTGTACTAAGAACACAAAAAATTGGCCGGGTATGGTGGTGGGTGGGTGCCTGTAATCCCAGCTACTCAGGAGGCTAAGGCAGGAGAATCACTTGAACTGGCGGGGTGGAGGATGCAGTGAACCGAGATCCCAGCACTGCGCTGCAGCCTGGGCAGCAACAGTGAAACTCCTCAGAAAAAAAAAAAAAGAAAAAGAAAAAAGAAAATTAACTAAATCAAGCCTAAATAAAACATATTCACAAAGTGGCAGACTTTTTTAATCCAAAAATTTAACTGTATTAATGTCTCATTTATAGAACATTATTTTACAATGAGGTTTTACACATCAATCAGTTGAGTCACTTCTTTTTTTTTTTGAGATGGAGTCTCGCTCTGTTGCCCAGGCTGGAGTGCAGTGGTGTGACCTCAGCTCACTGCAACCTCCACCTCCTGGGTTCAAGCGATTCTCCTGCCTCAGCATCCTGAGTACAGGCACTACAGGCACGTGAGCAAGAGAAGCTGACAGATTCAAATGTTCACAAACATTTATGTTCTATTTTGATAGATACATAAACTATGTTTCTCATTCTTATATACTTTATATTAGGGCATGGGATTAAAGTCAAAATAGTGGAAAATTAGTAGAAATAACATATTTTATATCCAATTAAGTCTCCAAAATCCCAACATGCACTCTTCTGTATACGTTTTTCAGTATGCTTGACTGGAACGGCCAATTCTACAGTAGTCTTGGAAGCAACATACTGCAGATTAAATACCTTAGTAGCCTATGTTCTTGAATGCGGACATAAAGGAGCAATGCTTTTCCTATCTTAAAAAAACAGTTTATATGAATGAAACTTCTGTTCTGTTTAAGATATTATATGTTGTTGAGTGTAGTTGTCAAAGCAACTAGCACGATTCCAAGTAATATAGAAATCACCAGCTTGAGTTGGGTCTGCCATAACAGCACCTAAAACGTATCCACTAAATTAGTATTAAATGGACAAGTAAACCAAACTCAGAGGGTTGAAATGAAGACTTGTAATACCCAGTGAAAAAAAATTATTGAAACTACCATCTAAAATTAATTGGAAGCTTAATATTACCTCTAGGAAAGAGTGTGGGAAATGAGGAAAGGCAAAAGGTAATGTGTTCATGTTTGTTCTGTTCCATAATCCAAGAAATAGATAAACACAGGCAAAAAAAAAAAAAAAAAAAAGAAAAAAGAAATATCCTGTCTTTAGAGTGGAAAGAAAGTGGATAGAGTTGAGTTGCTAAACCTTAGCATTATTGACATTTTATGCCTGATATTCCTGCATTCTGTGGGAGGTTATTCTTTGCATTGTAGGATATTAATAGTATCTTTAGGCTATACCACCACATACCAGTAGCATCACCACCTAATCATTATAATTCAAAATGTCTCCAGACACTGACAAGTGTTCTATGGAAACAAAGTCATTCCTTGTTGGAAACCACTTGTAAACAAAAAGTCTAGTAATGGTGGAATTATACAGTGACAGAAAAGCTCAGGTTTTTCTGATTAGGTTGAAAAAGCTGCTCAGAAATTAAATCCTACTGTGTTCATAAAAAACAAGGAACCCAGCCCTGAAGCAAAGAACTCATCAGGGAAGTTGTTTTCTCTTTCAAGTCTATGATTTCAAATGACCTTAAAGTGGTCATCTTTACAGTCAGAGAAGCATATGTGTGTTGGGGAGGAGAAAAAAGAAGGAAATGAGGCAGACTTTAGAATTATACCTAGGAAAGAACTGTATGTTTGGTTATAAACTAGATCCAATAAATAAATAAATGGTTTCCACATAACTACTTGGCAAAGGTACAATAAGCCTATTGTGAGAAAAAAAAATTAAGGCTTAAAATATCCTCAAGCATCCCAAATTGCACTAATCAGTGCAATTGATGAGTCATGCTGAGAAAACACTCATTGTTCTAATTTAAGATGGAGGCATGGAGAATAAGAGAAAATGTAAATTACCTCAGAAAGTAAATCTATGAGCCACAGGGACAATGGACCTTAAAGTTATTTCCACAGGACATGTTTATGGTTTCATCAAATAAATATTTGTACTGCTCAGAAATATTTTTGTCAGTGCTCTGCAGACTTCTTTGTCTTCTGATAGGAGCTTCACCATGGTAACTTAGATTTTACAGATAATTTGTCTTTTGACTTTATAGGACACTAGTCCTCGTTAAGTCATATAGTGGCCTGAGGGAGAGAACTGCACGTCATGAAACATCCTGAACTCTAAGTTGTAGGCAGTAACTGGGCAAAACTTTAAGTTGTTTACAGAGGGAAGAGAAGTGAATTTTTCATATATAAAGAAGTGTGCAAATTGTATTTCATGAGTAGTCTTTTGTCTTCTGGAATGGTGATATATACAAAGTAATCTGGGAAGATACAATTTGGTAATAGTAGATCCTTCGTTAACTTGAATTATTTTTTGCAGGAAAGATGCGTCTTTAGCCAAAATTACTTATGGTAAACTGTTATGTAAGCAAGAAATCACCTTCTACTTGGTTTAAGCTATTCAGTGTACTCTCTAGATAGATATGACACAAAGCTAGCATTATGATACAGTAAACCAAGTGTTAATGTAACTTTATGTTGATTTTGACTACATTCTGAAAATAATAAAAGTCATCTGGTATTTTAGGCTTACGATATGAACTTGATACTATGATAGGTGTCTGAAATGTTTATCTCATTTGATTCTTAGAACAAACTTATATTGTGGGTACTAATACAGTACTGATTTTTTAAATAAGAAAAAGGATTGCAAAAAATGTAAAAAGTCTTATTAAAGAGTACAAAATTCTATCTCCAAATGTGTAATGAATTTTATATAGTCAGTTAATATTTGTTTAGCTCAATAAAGTAATGTTCGGTGTAATAGTTGATTTCTTTAATGTTCATTCAGAATCACATTATCAATTTGAAATTAATTCACCTATTCGAAGAAGTTGCTTCCTCCAATTAAGACAGTATAGTAAGCAAAATAATGGTTTACAAAACAAACAAACCAACAAAAAAAAAACCGCATGTCCTGATTTCTGGAAGCTGTGAATATGTTAACTATCTGGTAAAAGGGGCTTTGCAAGTATTATAATGTTAAGGATGGTAAGATGAAAAAGTGTCCTTTTGAGTTCAGTGTAATCAAATGGGTTTAAACTAGGGAAACATTCTTGGCTAGAAACATAAGGTGGTATGATTTCAAAAGAATGGTCAGAGAGACACAGCATTTCTGGTTTGAACAAATGAAAGACCATAAGCTAACAAATCAGGACAGCCTCTGGAGGCTGGAAAAGTCAAGGAAACTGATTTTCCCCTAAAACCTTCAGAAAGGAACACAACAGTTCTCACTCTTTGATTTTAGCCTCATAAGATGCATTGCAGACATCTGACAAACACAATTGTTTGACACTATATTTGTGCTATTTTAAACCACTAACTTTGTAGTAATTGGCTACAGCAGCAGTAAGAAAATAATGCAGAGTGTTTCTATAATGGAGATAAAAGTATAAACAAGAGGCAAGGATTTCCTTCCTTCACAGTGTTTATAATATACTAAGAAAACAAACATTAAATACACAGGGCCCCAATAGATTATTCCACTTTAATTTTAGCTGGCACTGTGGAAGGAAAATAGAAATTCTAGAATATAGTGAATAGGAATATAACTTATTCTTATGTGGGAAGAAATGCTTATTACTGAATACTATTTGGGCTGAAAATAAATGCACTGTAGTTACAGTAAGTACAGTAAAAAAGGTAGTTTGCTATAAGGGAACAGAGCCATTGAAATGTAATGAAAGTCATCAAAGTTTTAGGCACTAACTATAAGTTGCAAGGAGTTAAACAATTGTAAGCAGTCCGATTATTAAAAAAATATGTGCCTGATTCTCAAAATCACAAGTATTCTTTAAGATTGCTAACCGTAGTAGTCAGTTTTCACAATGATATAAAGAATGACTTGAGACTGAGTAATTTATGAAGAAAAGAGATTTAATTGATTCATAGTTCTTCAGGCTTTACAGGAAGCATGAATGGGAGGACTCAGGAAACTCAGAAAATCATGGTGGAAGGCAAAGGGGAAACAAGGTTCTTCTTGACATGGCACCAGGAGAGAGAGAGCACAAGGAGGGAAGTGCCACACACTTTTAAACCATCAGATCTCTTGGAACTCACTCACTATCATGAGAATAGCATGTGGAAATCTGCTCCCATGATCCAGTCACCTCCACCCAGGCCCCTCTCTTGACATGAGGGGATTACAATTTGAGATGAGATTTGGGTGGGGACAGAGGGCCAAGCCATATTATTTCTCCTCTGGCCCCTCCCAAGTATCATGTCCTTCTCACATTTCAAAACCAATCATGCCTTCCCAACAGACTGGAAGTCTTAACTTATTCCAGCATTAACTCAAAAGTCCATGTCCAAAGTTTCATCTGAGACAAGGCAAATCGCTTCTGCCTATAAGCCTGTAAAATCAAAAACAAGTTAGTTAATTTCAAGACAACAGTGGGGGTACAGGGATCAGGTAAACACTCCAATTCCATAAGGGAGAAATTAGCCAAAACAAAGGGTCTGCAGGCCCCATGCAAGTCCAAAACCCGACAAGGCAGTCATTAAATCTTAAGGCTCTGAAACAATCTTCTTTGACCTCATCTCTCACGTCCAGAGCATACTGATGCAATATCTGGGCTCCCATGAGCTTTGACAGCTCTGCCTCTGTGGCTCTGCAAGGCACAGCCCCCACAGCTGCTTTCACAGGCTAGGATTGAGTGCCTGTGACTTTTCCAGGCACACTGTGCAAGCTGTCAGTGGATCTACCATTCTGGGGTCTGAAGCACTATGACCCTCTTCTCAAAGCTCCAGTAGGGAGTGCCCCAGTGGGGAATCTGTGTGGGGGCTCCAACCCCACATTTTCCCTCTGCACTGCCCTAGTAGAGGTTCTCCATAAGGGCTCCACTTCTGCAGCAGACTTTTGCTTAGACATCCAGGCATTTCCATACATCCTCTGAAATCTAGATGGAGGTTCCCAAACCTCACCTCTTCCCTTCTGCACAACCACAGGCCCAGCCTCATGTGGAAGCCACCAAAGCTTGAGGCTTGTATTCTCTGAAGCAATGGCCTGAGTAGTGCCTTGGACCCTTTTAGCCACAGTTGGAGCTGAGCAGCTGGAACACTGGGCACCATGTCCCGAGGCTGCCCAGAGCAGCAGGGCCCTGGGCCCATCCCACTAAACAATTTCTCCCTCCTAGGCCTCCAGGCTTATAATGGGAGGGGCTGCCTCAAAGGTCTCTGAAATGTACTGGAGACGTATTCCACATTGTCTTTGCCATTAACATTTGGCTCCTCTTTACTTATGCAAATTTTTGCTTGAATTTCTCCCAAGAGCGTGGGTTTTTCTTTTTTACTATATGGTTAGGCTGCAAATTTTCCAAACTTTTATGCTCTGCTTTCCTTTTAAATATACGTTTCAGTTTCAAGCCATCTCTTTCTTCATGGACATGAGCATAAACTTTTAGAAGCAGCCAGGCCACATGTTGGAAGGTCTGTTGCTTAGAAATTTGTTTCACCAGATACCCTAAATCATCTCTCTGAAGTTCAACATTACACAGATCTCTAGGGCCGGGTCAAAAGGCTGTCAGTCTCTTTGCTAAAGCATAGCAAGAGTAACTTTTTCTTCAGTTCTCAATGAGTTCCTCATCTCCATCTGAGACCCCCTCAGCCTGGACTTCGTTATCCAAATCATTATCAGCATTTTGTTCACAACCATTCAACAGGTCTCTAGGAAGATTTAAACTTTCCCATATCTCCCTGTCTTCTTCTGAGTCCTCCAAACTGTTTCCTACCTCTGCCTGTTACCCAGTTCCAAAGTTACTTCCATATTTTCAGGTATTTTTATAGCAATGCCCCACTTCTCTGGTACCAATTTTCTGTATCTATCTCTTCTCAAACTGCTATAAAGAACTACTGGGTAATTTATGAGGAAAAGAGGTTTAATTGACTCACAGTTCTGCAAGCTTAACAGGAAGCACGACTGGGAGGCCTCAGGAAACTAACAATCATGGCAGAAGGTAAAGGGGGAGCAGGTGCCTTCTTCACATGGTGTCAGTAGAGAGAAGAGCCGGGGGGAAGTTCCACACACTTTTAAACCATCAGATCTTGTGAGAACTCACTGACTGTCACGAGAACAGTATGGGAAATCCACCCCCATGATCAAATCACCTCCTACCAGACCCCTCCCCTGACACGTGGGGATTACGATTCAACATGAGATTTGTGTGGGGACACAGAGCCAAAGTATATCACTCACCTAATAAGTGCTTATCTTGATTAAATTGTATGGAAAACTACAACTTAAATTATGTGATCAGAAATTCTATCTAATGATAGACATTAATTCAAATGCCACCATGTTCTCCTGTCAGCTTCTCATATATTGTCATGGATATGATTTAATTGTCCTTCAGTGTCATGGAACACATCCTGAGATTCAGCTGATGAAGTTGCAAACTGGATAAATATAAATGATGATGTTTCAAAAAAGAAAATCCTCACTTAGTAAAAAAATGTTAGGTTTATTTTACACTTTCTTGACAGCTGAACTAATATAAAAAGCACTCACCTTGTTTCTTTCAGTTTTGTGTATGTTTTGATTGTGTCAGCTGAGTTCTTCTTCACGGGATTTTCTATGTGTCAGAGACACTTGTCCCCCATTCTGTTTTCCTGTGTAATCTCAAAATTGACAAGGGTCTTCACTGTATGTGAAAAGGATGTCTGTGTTGCTTGATTTTATGTGTGACTACTGTTTGCGATTGTCCTTTTCCCAATATGACATGTAATTTTACAGCACAGATAGTTTTTCAAAAGAATTACATTCCCAGGCTTAGCAGAGGGAGCGGCCTACTTATTGAAATGTGAAATCGAATCTCTGAAACAGAAACACCAAATTATTATACTAATCTGTAAAGTAGCTATAAAACGTTATTTTTCAGAGTGAAGTATCTGTCAAGATGGCTAGTTTTGGTGTATAATAGAAACGGTATTTTATTCCTTTTATTTCTGTAAACAGATTAAGTCTGTGTGTGTGTGTGTGTGTGTGTGTGTGTGTGTGTGTGTGTGTGTACATGGGATATAATACAAATCTACCTCGACTTATAATGAGTTACATCCTGATAACCACAGGCCAAGATGTGTTATGATGGATCTGGATATACTCATAAGTTGAAAATATTTTAGGTAAAAAATGCATTTAGTACATTTAACAAAAATACTGGCAAACCGAGTCCAGCAGCACATCAAAAAGCTTATCCACCAAGATCAAGTTGGCTTCATCCGTGGGATGCAAGACTGGTTCAACATACGCAAGTCAATAGATGTAATCCATCACATAAAGAGAACCAAAGACAAAAACCACAAGATTATCTCAATAGATGCGGAAAAGGTCTTTGACAAAATTCAATAGCCCTTCATGCTGAAAACTCTCAATGAACTAGGTATTGATGGAACATATCTCAAAATAATAAGAGCTATATATGACAAACCCGCAGCCAGTATCATACTGAATGGGCAAAAACTGGAAGCTTTCCCTTTGAAAACTAGCAGAAGACAGTGATGCCCTCTCTCACCACTCCTATTCAACATAGTGTTGGAAGTTCTGGCCAGGGCAGTCAGGCAAGAGAAAGAAATAAAGGGCATTCTATTAGGAAAAGAGGAAGTCAAATTGTCCCTGTTTGCAGGTGATATGATTGTATATTTAGAAAACCCCATCATCTCAGCCCAAAATCTCCTTAAGCTGATGAGCAACTTCAGCAAAGTCTCAGGTTACAAAATCAGTGTGCAAAAATCACATGCATTTGTATACACCAATAACAGACAATCAGAGAGCCAAATCATGAGTGAACTCCCATTCACAGTTGCTACAAAGAGAATAAAATACCTAGGAATCCAACTTACAAGGGATGTGAAGGACCTCTTTAAGGAAAACTACAAACCACTGCTCAACGAAATACAAGAGGACACAAACAAATGGAAGAACATTCCATGCTCATGGGTAGGAAGAATCAATATCGTGAAAATGGCCATACTGCCCAAGGTAATTTATAGATTCAATGCCATCCCCATCAAGCTACCAATGACTTTCTTCACAGAATTGGAAAAAACTAAAGTTCATATGGAATCAAAAAAAGAGCCCATATTGCCAAGACAATCCTAAGCAAAAAGAACAAAGCTGGAGGCATCACGCTACCTGACTTCAAACTATACTACAAGGCTACAGTAACAAAAACAGCATTTTACTGGTACCAAAACAGAGATATAGACCAATGGAATGGAACAGAGGCCTCAGAAATAACGCTAAACATTTACAACCATCTGATGTTTGACAAACCTGACAAAAACAAGAAATGGGAAAAGGATTCCCTATTTAATAAATGGTACTGGCTAGCCATATGTAGAAAGCTGAAACTGGATCCCTTCCTTCACCTTATAGAAAAATTAATTCAAGATGGATTAAAGACTTAAATGTTAGACCTAAAACCATAAAAACCCTAGAAGAAAACCTAGGCAATACCATTCAGGACATAGGCATGGGCAAGGACTTCATGTGTAAAACACCAAAAGCAATGGCAACAAAAGCCAAAATAGACAAATGGGGTCTAATTAAACTAAAGAGCTTCTGCACAGCAAAAGAAACTACCATCAGAGCGAACAGGCAACCTACAGAATGGGAGAAAATTTTTCCAATCTACCCATTTGACAAATAGCTAATATCCAGAATCTACAAAGAACTTAAACCAATTTACAAGAAAAAAACAAAGCCATCAAAAAGTGGACAAAGGATATGAACAGACACTTTTCAAAAGAAGACATTTATGCAGCCAACAGACACATGAAAAAATGCTCATCATTACTGGTCATCAGAGAAATGCAAATCAAAACCACAATGAGATAGCATCTCACACCAGTTAGAATGGCGATCATTAAAAAGTCGGGAAACAACAGGTGCTGGAGAGGATGTGGAGAAATAGGAATGCTTTTACACTGTTTGTGGGAGTGTAAACTAGTTCAACCATTGTGGAAGTCAGTGTGGCAATTCCTCAAGTATCTAGAACTAGAAATACCATGTGACCCAGTGATCCCATTACTGGGTATATACCCAAAGCATTATAAATCATGCTGCTATAAAGACACATGCACATGTATGTTTATTGCGGCACTCTTCACAATAGCAAAGACTTGGAACCAACCGAAATGTCCATCAATGATAGACTGGATTAAGAAAATGTGGCATACATACACCATGGAATACTATGCTGGCATAAAAAATGATGAGTTCATGTCCTTTGTAGTGACGTGGATGAAGCTGGAAACCATCATTCTGAGCAAACCTTCGCAAGGACGGAGAACCAAACACCGTGTGTTCTCACTCATAGGTGGGAATTGAACAACGAGAACACTTGGACACAGAGTGGGTAACATCACATGCTGGGGCCTATTGTGGGGTGGGGGGATGGGTAGGGATAGCATTAGGAGAAATACCTAATGTAGTTAATGAGTTAATGGGTGCAGCAAACCAACATGGCACATGTATACATATGTAACAAACCTGCAAGTTGTGCACATGTGCCCTAGAACTTAAAGTATTAAAAAAAAATACACTTAAGAAATGTGCTCAGAACACTTACATTAGCCAGTCCAAAAAAAAAATCTAACCTAAAGCCTATTTTTAAATAAAGTGTTGAATATCACATGTAAATTATTAAATACTGAATGTGAAAAACGGAATGGGTATATGGGTAATAAAAGCATTGTTTCTACTGAATGTTTATCACTTTTGTACCATGATGAAGCTGTAAAGTTGTACCATTGTAAATCTGGGACCATCTGTGTTACATTCAAGAGAAAAGCTCAGTCGAACTAATAAATAAATCAAAATTTCTTCTGATTATTTAGGTGTTTTTTCCTGTTAGATAATTAAGACATCCAACTGTTGCTTGCTGCTTCACCACACAGACCATACACAGATACAAATACACACTCCATGAATGAGCGTATGTGCTTGTTTAAAGAGACATACTAACCAAACAGTTGTATGCTGCCGTGATATTGATTATGTCATCAAGTTCCTTATTTAACAAAACAGAGCTGTGTATGAAGTATTTCTCTAAAATGTACATTCAATAGCAACTGGTTTTGTTCAGTCTTATGTACCCATATTATTTAAATGAGCACCTGGAGTCTAGAATTAACTAAAAAATATCTATGTTGATGCATATTAAGTTGATTTTGAAGTCATAAATTTTGACAAGAATTGATACTATGGCACTGTCATAACTTTACAAAAGATGACCTGAACTAACATGATTTTATGCTTTTACCAGTGGAACTCCCTGAAATATATTCAGATAATTTGTTATTAAAGCAAAACTAAGTTTATTGAAACCCTGTGCCAAGAAAGTACACCATTTTGACATACTTTTGCAGTGTTTCAGCAGGGAAGAGTGAGAGGAAGATTTTTCATGTTTGTGGAGAATGGCTTAAGAGAGTTAAATGAGTCTTTCAAAGTGAGTAGCTGATTGAAATTGAGCTAAACTCAGAGCATAATAGTTTAGATAGTCTAAGAAATTGAAAAAAAAGTTGATGCCAAGCATACAAGAAATAACACCACCAAAAAATAGACCTAAATACAGACAAAATTAGATTAAAAACAAGAATATGTTCAATGTTAATAAAAGCAAAAGGAACATAGACATAGTTATGGAGGAGTTTTGTTTTGTTTTAATAAGATAAAAATATGGTTAGTTTTATAGCAATACACCTGGAAATCTGGATCAATTCTGTCCACTATAGTCATTACTAGTGACATGTAGATATTGAACACTTGAAATATGGTGGATTTGAATTGATTTATGCTATATGTAAAATACAAACTAGATTTAGTTTAAAAAATGTAAAACTGAATAATTTTAATATTGTTTTATGCTGAGATGACAATATTTTGGATATACTGGATTAAATACATATAAAATATTGTTAAAAATCAAGTAGTATAGTAAAATTGGTCTTTTTGTTTTACTTTTTTATTTTGTTTTGGTTTTTGAAGGGATAGAAATCATGGCTAAGATGGACCCTGGGGCATATCATTGACCATCATGAAACATGCACTGATTTGCCAAATGTATTATTTTCCTGTGGCTGTTATAAAAATCACAATACACTTAGTAGTTTAAAACAACATAAATTTATTGTCTAGCAGTATTCCAGGTTAGAAGTTCAACACAGGTCTTACTGATTTAAAATCAAAGCATTGGAAGACTGCATTCCTTCTATAGGCTCTGTGGAATAATCCATGACCTGGCCTTTCCCAGGCTTTAGAATCCAGCTGCATTCTTTGATGCATGTTCCCTGTCTTGGGCAGCTTGGAATACTGTAAGAAAATACCATAGACCGGGTGACTTAAACAACTGACATTTATTTCTCAGAGTTCTGAAAGTTGGGAAGTCCAAGATTAAGGTGCTGGTATATTTGGTTCATGGTGAGGGCCCACTCCCTCTCTGGTTAGTAGATGGCCTCCTTCTCTCTGTGTTCACATGGCCTTTCCTGGATACATGTTTACGGAGAGAGAAAGAGAAGGGTGGTTGGGTGGGAGGTGGTCTAGTATCTCCACCTTTTCTTATAAGAACACTAACATTATCATGAGAACACCACACTTAGGACATTATCTCAACCTAGGTTCCTCCCAAAAGCTCCATCTCCAGATACTATCACACTGCCAATTAATAGATCATTGAAAATAATCTATTAATATTTGAACAATGCCAATCATCTTCAATAGATTAATTTTAGGGAGACACAAATATTCAGTTCATAACAGTTCCTTTCCTTGACCTTCAAAGCTACAAATGAAGGAGCAAGTCTTCACATTCTCCTTTTATATCTCCCTCTTCTACGTGTAAAGAATCTTATGATTGCATTTGGCCATCTAAAAATCTATGATAGTCTCTCCATTTCAAAATCCTTAACTCTAATTGCATTTGCAAAGTCTGTCCTGCCAGGTAAGCTAACAAATTTATAAATTATCTGGATTAGGACCGCATCATCTCTGAAGAGCCATTATTCTGACTACCACATCAGTATGTTAGTTTATGTCAAGATTGCTGTAATAATCAATAGGTTCTGGTACCACAAATCCAGTAGCAGTCATTAAGGTTGATTGAGTTTATTGATTGCTTTCAGCTCCATTCTGCTATTAATCACTTTTGGGGATATAAAATGAAGACCTTATCACATAGAGGAAGAGGTAGATGTGATAGGAGCTTGAATATGTAATAAGAATTTTTTATGATATGTAAATGTGAGAAATGAATTAAGTATGTGCCATTTGTTCTCTTCTTTTTAAGACATTTCTTTCTAAAGGTTTAGTGACAGAAGTTGCATTCTATTAAAGATCCCTAAGTGCTGTTCTGCTGTAGGCATAAGCTTTCTTTCCTGGGTGCAGCATGTTAGGATTTAAGATTTCTATTTATCTAATACTCTGCTGTTTGTCAGATAAAATAACAATAAATAGTGAGTCCAATTATTGATAAACCCAGATGTTTCATATTTAGGAATCGATGTTAAAAAAAAAAACTCTAATTGGCATCCTAAGGAAAATGTGTGCAGCTTAGCACTGATTCAACTGCATGTTTAGCCAAATTGTGAACAAATTACGGCCAGCTTCCGGACTCTTCTAGAGAGTGACTAAGGACGGCATAGAGGAATTAGGAATAGTAGCTTTATAGGTAAAGTAATTAAATGTAACCTTAAGCATAAAAAGATAAAGTTAACTAGGAAAATGAAAACTCAAGATATACAGATTAAATATGACAAACAATGGATCTTTTTTTGTGGATCTTGGTTTGCAGATACCGATATCTCATATAGTGATTCACTTGATCCAAAGGCATTTGATGGAAGCTGTCTTCTCCCAAAGACTATTTGCTTTTGGAAGAATCCTAAGAGTCATTAGTTAGAAGTTTTTGGTAGGGATACTTTCCTGTAATATGAAGATGACCTAAACCTCTTTACTTGAGAGATAGGAATCAAAGGATCAGTCTTTTAAAGACTATGGGTTTGCTAGTTGTTAGCTGTGCCTGATAGTGACTTTTTTCCTATGATCTTTCCCTGCCGTGTCTCTTAGAAGACAAGGTATCCAGGTATGAAAACCAATTTTGCAGACATTGTTTAGGATACTAATGGGGAAAGTCTTCAGTAACTTTTGTTGAAAGAATGGATTTCCTGAGTCCTTACAGCATTTAGTTAAATAAGTGTAGATTTCTAGAATCAGAGCTAATATTCCTAGACACTTGGTTTAGCTGTTACTAACTCATGAACCACAGAAAGAAGAAATACCTTAGACCATGCAAGTTTGACGATGTCTGTGAACTTTACCAACTTTAGTTTCAGAATTCCATCTTTCTACCTTCCCAAAAGGTTGAAAGTGATATGGACAGTGAAGTCTGATTAATTGACAGAACTTTTCCATGTTAATAAAAATTCCGGTAAAATGGTTTCCTTGTTACTAGAGATATAGTTTGGGATTCCCCAGGCTGAAAAAAAAAAAAAGGATTTTCTCCATGCCAACAAGAGACAAATAATGATCAGAACATATTTAAAATCTATTGCCAGCACTTGTTATGAAAAATTCATTTAGATTTTTACTGAGACATTTTACAGTTTTGTTAGGATTAATCTGACGAAGGTTGAGACAGGTTGTAAGGATATAGTTATATAAAGATATACTTACCAATTTTAGCAAAATTTTCCTCCAGCTATTGGTTAAATACATTGGTCAATTTGTCCTCATTGTGCCAGAAAAGCTCAGCAGTTCTGACTAAAGTTTATGTTAACCCATTGCCAGTAGAATGAAAGAGTTGAATCCTCTCTTAAATTATAATATATAGTTGACTCCTCAACAACACAGGTTTGAACTGTGCAGGTCTGCTCATATGTAGATTTTTTCCTATAAATATATTAGAAAATTTTTGGAGATTTATGAAAAATTGAAAAAGATAACAGGTGACCCATCTACACAAGAAATATTAAAAAACTAAGAAAACGATGTCATGAATGCATAAATCATATGTAGATACTAGTGATCATTTAATACAATGAGATATATATGCGTCTATTATAAAAAGTTAAAATTTATCAAGACGTAGGCAAACACAGAGCATACATGCAGCCAATTGAAGTTTAGAGAAAAGTAAAACAAAAATATACAAAAGTAAATCATAACTGCACAAAATTAACTGTAGTACATACTGTACTACTGGGATAATTTCCTAGCCTCCACCTGTTGTTCTTGCAGTGAACTCAAGTGTTGTGAGTATTCACTTAAAATGCCACATAATGCTAATCATCTTCTTGTGAGTAGCTTGTCTCTCCAGTAAATTAACACAGTAAAAAGTGTTCTCTCATGTTTCTCCTGTATTATTCATGATGTCTAGTGCAATACCATAAACCTTGAATAACACCTTCAGACCTATAAAAAGTGCTGCTAGTGATGCTGAAAGTTCTTCCAGGAAACAGAGAAGGGTCCTGACATTACAGGAAAACAATGAATTGCTTGATAGGTACCCTAGATTGAGGCCTGCAGCTGTGTGTGCTGCCATTTCAGAAGAAGGATCCATCTTGTAAACACAGGATTGTAAACTTATGAGAGAAATAAATATACTGTAGTACTGTAAACGTATTTTTTCTTCCCTATAATTTTCTTAATAACACTTTCTTTTCTGTAACTAGCTTCATTGTAAAACTACGGTGTAAAATACATACAGCGTATGAAATATGTGTTAAGGATTGTCCAGTCAACAGTAGGCTGTTAGTTTAGTTTTGGGGAGTCCAAAGTTATATGTGAATTTTTGACTGTGCTGGGGTGGTGGGGAGGGGTTAGGGAGGTTTGATGGCCCTAAACCTTGTGTTTTTCAGGAGTCAACTGTACAATTTAGAAGAATATGATTTAGAATTTCCCTGAGATTAAGAACATATTAAATGGTGGGAAGGATATTGATAGACCTCTAGATCTAGTGACACTATCAACTTTGACTGTGTCTGTTTGATGAAGGAATTAAAATCTAGTAACAAAAGCATTTTGTAGATAGTTATTGTACCAGTCTTTGTTCTTGAACATCAGTGTGTTTTTTTGAACTGAAAATCACACATTGAATGAAAGGCTTCATCTCAATATATTTTATTTACACATAAATTTGAGCTGTTTTTTGTTCACAAGTTTGGCCGATAAAAGAGCCCTCACAATAGCTTTAATTACCATTTAAAATTACAAATTAATGTGATTTTTTAATTTTTCTCTCTTTTGTAGGGTGAAGGAGCAATGCTTTTGGTTACTCAGTATTCTCTCAAGAAAATTTAAAGATAGTTTATACATAGAAGATATTTTAACAGGCTATATTCTGAACTTGTGGCCCGGATTTGGAAAAAGCAATATATCAAGTATGGTTCAAGGGGACAAGAAAGAGAGAAGCATTTGTTACCATTTTTCCAAGTCAAAAATATTTAATCAGATAATATTTTAAAAGCCAGCAATAATTAGTAATGATTGGTATAATGTTTTTGTCAAAATTATTAAATAGGAGATAAAATTAAAAGCTTTATTTTTTTGCATTCAAATAAAATTTTAAGTATTTTGATGAGCATATTAAATCAACAATGCATGTATTACATTGAACCTGACTTCTTAATAAGTTGCAACCAAATCTTTAATGATAAGTTTAGGTCAGAGAGATAATTTTGAGATTTGTCACCATAAAGATAGGGTATAATGTGATGTAAATAATTAAGATCAGGTGGAAAGACAAATAAGATTGAAGGAAGACCCAAGACCAAGGTTTGAGGCACTCTCAGAAGTTCTAAAAAAAAAATTTAGACTATGAGTAAAGAAGGATTGATCAGCAAGGTGAAATGGATCAAGGAAATGTGGGCACTCAGAGGTACAGAGGGGTTAATTGCTGCTCAGAAAATACTCAGACGAATGCTGAACAATAGATTAGATAGAACCGATGTCCTAGAAATCATGAAGATAAGTGACTTTATTAAAATACATATTATAAACAAAGAAGGAATTTACTGTTCGAAAAGTTGTCTTGAAGAATTGTTTTGGGAGAAAATAAAAAATAAACCTTATTTTCTAAAATACACTAAAACTAATTCCAAATGAGTCAAAGGATTGTGTACAGATATTTTAAATTAATAAAACAATGTTAGTGCAGATTCTCTTTAATTACTTCCCTGATTGTTTTACCTATAGTAACTCATTTAATTCTACTAGCAATCTTTTCATGTTGGATACAGCTATTCAAATTTTCTTTTGTTATTGCAATAGCCTCCTAACCATTCTTCCACAAAATTGAGGCACTAAAAGGTTGTGAAATTTCCTCTATGCCACAGAGCTTTTTAGTGATGATTTGGCATTTGGAAGCACATCTTTGAAATGTTCATTTTTCTCTGATGGCCAGTGATGGTGAGCATTTCTTCATGTGTTTTTTGGCTGCATAAATATCTTCTTTTGAGAAGTGTCTGTTCATGTCCTTCGCCCACTTTTTGATGGGGTTGTTTGTTTTTTTCTTGTAAATTTGTTTGAGTTCATTGTAGATTCTGGATATTAGCCCTTTGTCAGATGAGTAGATTGTGAAAATTTTCTCCCATTCTGTAGGCTGCCTGTTCACTGTGATGGTAGTTTCTTTTGCTGTGCAGAAGCTCTTTAGTTTAATTAGATCCCATTTGTCAATTTTGGCTTTTGTTGCCATTGCTTTTGGTGTTTTAGACATGAAGTCCTTGCCCACGCCTGTGTCCTGAATGGTAATGCGTAGGTTTTCTTCTAGGGTTTTTATGGTTTTAGGTCTAACGTTTAAGTCTTTAATCCATCTTGAATTAATTTTTGTATAAGGTGTAAGGAAGGGATCCAGTTTCAGCTTTCTCCATATGGCTAGCCAGTTTTCCCAGCACCATTTATTAAATAGGGAATCCTTTCCCCATTGCTTATTTTTCTCAGGTTTGTCAAAGATGAGATAGTTGTAGATATGCGGCGTTATTTCTGAGGGCTCTGTTCTGTTCCATTGATCTATATCTCTGTTTTGGTACCAGTACCGTGCTGTTTTGGTTACTGTAGCCTTGTAGTATAGTTTGAAGTCAGGTAGCGTGATGCCTCCAGCTTTGTTCGTTTGGCTTAGGATTGACTTGGCAACGCGGGCTCTTTTTTGGTTCCATACGAACTTTAAAGTAGTTATTTCCAATTCTGTGAAGAAAGTCATTGGTAGCTTGATGGGGATGGCATTGAATCTATAAATTACCTTGGGCAGTATGGCCATTTTCACGATATTGATTCTTCCTACCCATGAGCATGGAATGTTCTTCTATTTCTTTGTATCCTCTTTTATTTCATTGAGCAGTGGTTTGTAGTTCTTCTTGAAGAGGTCCTTCCCATCCCTTGTAAGTTGGATTCCTAGGTATTTTATTCTCTTTGAAGCAATTGTGAATGGGAGTTCACTCATGATTTGGCTCTCTGACTGTCTGTTATTGGTGTATACAAATGCGTGTGATTTTTGTACATTGATTTTGTAACCTGAGACTTTGCTGAAGTTGCTCATCAGCTTAAGGAGATTTTGGGCTGAGACAATGGGGTTTTCTAGATATACAATCGTGTCATCTGCAAACAGGGACAATTTGACTTCCTCTTTTCCTAATTGAATACCCTTTCTTTCCTTCTCCTGCCTAATTGCCCTGGCCAGAACTTCCAACACTATGTTGAATAGGAGTGGTGAGAGAGGACAAATCAAAACCACAGTGAGATACCATCTCACACCAGTTAGAATGGCAATCATTAAAACGTCAGGAAACAACAGGTGCTGCAGAAGATGTGGAGAAATAGGAACACTTTTCCACTGTTGGTGGGACTGTAAACTAGTTCAACCATTGTGGAAGTCAGTGTGGCGATTCCTCAGGGATCTAGAACTAGAAATACCATTTGACCCAGCCATCCCATTACTGGGTATATACCCAAAGGACTATAAATCATGCTGCTATAAAGACACATGCACACGTATGTTTATTGCGGCACTATTCACAATAGCAAAGACTTGGAACTGACCCAAATGTCCAACAATGATAGACTGGATTAAGAAAATGTGGCACATATGCACCATGGAATACTGTGCAGCCATAAAAAATGATGAGTTCATGTCCTTTGTAGGGACATGGATGAAATTGGAAATCATCATTCTCAGTAAACTATCGCAAGGACAAAAACCCTAAGACCGCATGTTCTCACTCATAGGTGGGAATTGAACAATGAGAACACATGGACACAGGAAGGGGAACACCACACGCTGGGGACTGTTGTGGGGTGGGGGAAGGGGGGAGGGAAAGCATTAGGAGATATATCTAATGCTAAATGACGAGTTAATGGGTGCAGCACACCAGCATGGCACATGTATACATATGTAACTAACCTGCACATTGTGCACATGTACCCTAAAACTTGAAATATAATAATAATAAAATTTAAAAAAAATGTTCATTTTTAATTATAGCACTACACCATGCACTGAATCACGGAGGGTAAAAATGCACACTGTTAATAAGAAGGAGGGAGTCAATCTCATTAGTATTATAATATTTATACTGAATGAGACTCCATTCCCGAAATTCACAGAATTAAAATAATAAAAATAAAAATTTATTGCTAGCCAATTTGCAGCAAAAAAGATTCATTCTCATATTCTGCTATGAGAAAATAAATGAAATTGAATTTTAAAAGACATTTTTGGAAAGCCCTTTGAATTAACCAGAAAATTGTTAAATTCGTAGTTTTTTTGACTAACATTCTTCTTCCACGTTAACAGAATTTATATATAAGTGACACTCATTGCATATACTTTTAAGGGGTAAAATAATTACTAAATTTATGTACACTATTAATACTTCATTGTATAAAATTGCATATATACCCATATGCAAATGTGCACAGAATCAATAGGGTAACCATAGACATAAAATGATCAGTGCAGGATATTTTATTTATGCATTTTATATATAATATACTTTTCATTTAATATTTTTGCTAATTTTATTGAATTGAATATTTATGCCTTGGTTATAGAACAACTAAATTTATTTTCAAAGAAACTCCATTATTATTGTCTGCAAGAGTAAAACTTATAAACAATCTAAAAATTCAACCAAATACAACCATTTACAATTGTGCCCTGGTTGAATTTGTAATCATAGGAGAAAACACAGGTGTTGAATTTTTTGAATTTCATTTAAAAAATAATTGACACAATCCCTAAGGTATCATATAAATTAATTGAATTGTTATTGTCTTGGGTTAACATTTATTTCTAGAGTTTTTTTTCCCCTAATATCTGATTTTTTCCATTAACATTACTTATTTGGATAATCAGAAAAAAATCAACATTGCCAAAAGATAGATAATACCACAAGCGAAATATCTATGATAATGATAGGAAAATGCTTTGAATTCAGGCTGAATGAGAATTAGTCTAGGAAAACAGCTTGGACCCTCTCATTCCTGTTAATGTCATCTCTGTGTTTAGCACTGCTGCTATTCCTCAGCTACTAAGAAATGCTCTATTGCTGGGCATGGCATATGGGAAGCCAAGAAAAATGACTGGCTGCTTGGTGACAGCTCTCTAGTCCTCATGCCAAGTTCTGCCAGTGATTTAAATATTAAGTAATGGAAAGAATTTTGAAATCCAGGATGATTAGAAAAGTCATTTTCTACAAAAGTGAAGCATTGTCTTTAGAGATTAAAATCTATGAAAATAACATTATTGAAATACTAGACTTCAGACTATTTTTCTGAATTACTGTAACTGTTGAAATAGGTCTTTCAGCCCATTAAGATAAACACCACACTTTTCTCTTCATGATCTCCAGCTGTAATTTTATAGTGAAAGGTGCTTGCATAAAAGAGTTCACACTATCTGAAAGATGTCACATGTAACATTGACTGGCAGCCATTTCAGAATGGCAGACAGCCAATAAATCATTCAGAACTATGTGTCACTCGTTGTGGCTTTAAAATTGTATTCCTTCTCCTTTGATAAAGAACATTTCAATGTCAAATAGTTTGTTCTATTTAAACTTATACATCAACCAGAATATTGAGATACACAATAAAATTAAATGATTTGGTAATACCTTTAGAATTTATCTAAAAACAGCCGTATGTATTTGCATGACAGATTTGGTTCACAAACGGATCAAGTTGTTAGTATCAAAGGCATGTTTTAGTGCTGATTTGTGTATAGATAAATTTAGGAAATTACATAAATAGAAATACTTCTTTATAAAATTCCTTGACCTTGTGATATCTTGGTATTAAGAATCTTAAAGGAATCATTTAAAAAAATTCAAAAGCAAACAATTTCGATTTTACAAGAGCTAAGAAAAAAACATTTTGCTATGGACACAGATCGCTCTTCAAGAAAAGATTTCTTTCCCCCTTGGCTGCTAGGAGCAATATTACAAAGCAGCCTTCAGCTCTCAGCTCCTTCAAAGTTTGCCTCAGCTGTAACCATTGTCTGGCTCAATGTTAGGGCATCCTGGAGCACTGGACATGCAAACACGAATGGAGATGAGGTTATAAAGCCTGGCCATTTTGACCCACCTGAGAGGATTCTGACAGGTCCTTCCAGTGCCTGAGAAACCCAGGGCTCACATGCTTTATATTCTGATCATTCTGTAGGGGTTGTTCCCATGGGTGATAGAAGCTGCCAAATATAAAGAGGCAACCATGCAAATTTTTAGGAATTATTTCCAAAACTCTCATAACAACATCATATATATTTATTGGTTGTTTAAGTAGATTTCTGAGGAGTAGATAGCAACGATAGAAGTGAAAGAAAGTAAATGCAGTTGTTAAAGGATTAGTCTTCCCATACTTAGAAAGTACACAAGTTGCATATACACTATGTTCCTTCCCTAGAGCAAGTATTTCAATGCAGTCATGTGTGTGTGTTTGTGTGCTTGTGTGTGTGTGGTGTGTGTGTGTGTGTGTGTATGCTAACTGAACTCATTATAGATTTTATTGGATCAGATATATGAAGAGACTTGGAAGACTTGGGTTTGTCTGGAACTGGGTGAAATAGAGAAGGACGATCATTGACATAGAAAGCTGATTACTTTGTCCTTTGAGTATAAATAGTCTTACAATAAAATGGCATCTCCACTGTCTAAAACACATTTTTACATTTGCTCTCCTTCTGAAATTATTTATGTGAAATTAACAAATGTACTTATTACCTTAGAAACAAACGATCCGTAATTTATATTATTTATTGTATATTTGTAGATCCACTTAAAATTGATTTGCAATATAAGGAAAAAATGCGTTTTATAAGTTGTTTGCTTTGTGTAGTGCATCTTGTTAACCGTAGGACTACTGTTGCATTGAAACAAAATAGAATTAATCTGTTCAGGTAAATAGAACTGGAAGTGAGATTTGTTGTCACTCCTTCTCCTTCAAGTACTGACCAGTCTTTTAATTCACACATAACTAACACTCTGTGCAATAATATTTTTTTGTTCTCTGTCTTTTCAAACAGAACTCAAGCTCCATGAGGAGATGTTTCATTGTCGGTGAGCACATTCTTGTCAATTAGTTCCTTCTTGTTTCTTACTATAGCCCCTGTGTCTAGAACCTTTCCAGGTATTCAGTAGCCATTTAAAAATTATTTGTTGAATGAATTGTTATTTTAAAGAACATCCACAAGTTTTGCCTGACTGGGCATGGGAATACATGCCCATCTTTGGACTGAATGTCCATTTTTCCCTTCTTTGATTTATCAAAATATTGGTTAAATGATCAGGACTACCGTCAGAAGGAATTTTATATCTAAAAATAGTTTACCTTCTATGGATGTAAAAAATAGTTGTAGTAGTTCTGGCTTTTATATTATTCGATGTTTCAAAGCGGTTTTTTTTTTCCATCACCATATTCTACGTTCTTGAAAAGTACTCGTTCATGTGACTGCTATCATTTATGCTTGTGCAGCACGTAGATACAGGAGAGAAGATAAGGAAAATGCTTACCCTGTGTCTCCTTCCCTGTAACACAGTTTTTTTTACCATATTGATTCTCCACTTTCTACTCCCTAAGTAAAATTTTGCAACAGGCATTTGGGAAACTCTGGATACAAGAAAAAAATTTTAATATTGTACAAAGAGACAAGAGGTGACTTCTTTTTTATTTTTCATTTAGAGTTTATAGTTTAATTAAAGAAAATGCACATATATCTAAAGATAATCATGGATAATACACTCATGTAATTACTACTTTCAGTGGTTGTAACAACAGCCAAAGCACAAACAGAAATGAGAAAGAATTATCAGCATTATGCAAGTACATATCCTCTTTAAGAATTCCTGTTATAGTGAAAGCATTAAAATAATTGAACACGTACAGAGACCATATACTTTGTGATCTTTTTAAAAAAGTATTCAAAATATATTTCTGTGTGCAAAACATTTTCATAATGGTCTTGTTTAAATGAAAGTATTTAGAATAGCACATTGTAAAATTATGCTGCAGAGCACAAGTATTTTTCTCTTTAGAAGACACATAATAAAATAGAATCATCAGTGTTTTTTCATAAACATGAATCTTTAGAGTGTTACTTGATCCTGCACAATAAGGGTACTTTTTTGCTTAATGTAAGCATAGTATACTAATTCTTTTAAACTTCAGAAAGCATATTTACAGTCTAGGCAGATGGGACATGAAGGTCACACAGCATGAGCAGTGAAATATCTCATTTACCTAGAGTTCTAGAGAGAATTTTAGGAACTCTTATTTATTATCAGTGCATAAACAAGAGTAAACTCTACAAAACTGTTTGCAAAACTCTCCTCTTTCTACTCAGAAGGCTTTCCCTAGAATAATCATTATGGAGTCTGTCCATCCTTTACTCATTCACTGCATGGGGACAGGTGTTAGTTATGAGATTGGTGAATTTAGAAAGCTAACCAATTTCATACCTATTTTGGGATTCTCAATTCACAAACTTTTGTGCGTTTCTTAATTATTTCCTTTCTTTTTCTTGTAGAGAGCAGTCATGATGGCCTGCACTCCACACAATGCAACAGAGTGAAAGAGCAGGTTCTGCTTCTTTGGTGTAGTCCTGAAGCTTCCTAAGAAACTTCACATCAGGTGATGGATAGGAGCAACCCTGTAAAACCAGCCTTAGACTATTTTTCAAACAGTAAGTAATAAAGGTGACGTTTTGATCTTTATCTGCTTAATTACTTCTGCTATGATTCTATTGATTCTAACATTGAAGGAGCAGTAAATTTATATGTATTATCCAACTATAAAACAATAAATAAACGATATGTCAAATACATTATCACATCCTTATGTTCTTATGATAATATTGTCCTTTTTTTAACAGTTTTTATTCTTATTTGTTGATTGGTTTGTCTTTATGTTGTCCTTTCTACTATCAAACTGAACATGTTGAGGTCATAGGCTATCAAAACTGTACATTTCTGATGCTAACCATAGAGACTTAACAACAGTAAATAGGCCAAAATGGAATGTTGTTAGCCATAGTGTGTATTATTATTTCTTTTATACATGTGGTCACTGTTAGAGGAGTTTATGACTTTTTGCCTAGATTAATGACACACAAACCATCTACAAACGAATCATACCTTATTCCCTCACTGTAATTTTTAATGTTGCTATTTTTGCCTGTTAACATTCCATAGGTTTATCACATTGCTTAAAGATTTAATTTAATTTCTGTAATTGTATATGTCATGAGAGATTGCTTTTAACCTTCCAATGTTCGTGGTCTCATTTTCACTAACATAATCCCAACTTTAGCTGCGCACAATACCACATTTCCCAGCATTCCTTGCATCTGGATATAGCTGTATTCAAATAAGCCGTGTGAAACTTCTGGGATGGCTCCTTAAGTGCAGTTGACTCATTAGGGAGGTATGTCTTTTTTATTTTTCTACACTTTGTGCTGCTGTCCTGGAGTACAGACATGGTGGCTAGAAGCATGAAATCACCTTGAAGATAGAAGTCATGCATTGAAGTTAGTAAAAGTGAAATGTAAGTGTATAGTTTCCTGATGAAAATGGGAAGCTTATGTACTAGCAACAGAATGCTTATTATGCAGGCTTCCTATATGTAAAAGAGGACAAATTCTCATTTTATTAAGTTTCTGAAAGTAGATTTCTAAATGCTGGTTCTATTTTTTATTGAAAGTAATGGCAAAAAACGCAATGCCTTTTGTACCAACCTAATAGTTAATAAACATATCCTCAAATGAAATGTCTTAGAATTGTGTTCATCAAGTTAATATTAATAATTTATTAGAATAGCACTCTAAAGGGTTGCAGCCTATGCATGAAAATACTTACAAACTACTACATGATAATCAATTCTTTTTGGCAAGACTGCTATTTACATGGACACAAGAGTTATTATAAGAATGTTGTATGTATACATGAATAGTGTCTGTTAAACACTGGATATAATAAAAACAATAGTTTTTCTGTTAATTATAACAATCTGAACATTTTTGTGATTATATTTCACAAATGACACACCATTTTATTTGCAGATTTTTCTTATCCCCAAAGTTTTTGTTAATTTATTACCAACACAGCACACAAGTCTAGTGGCAATGCATTGCCTCTGCAGTTGATTTTGAAGTAAGAAGGCCTATTTATTGCATTCATTCCTGCTTAGATGACATCTTAAATTTGTTAATTGGATTATTATGCTCTATTCTATACATTTATTGATTTATAGATTTTGTGGACACAAATTTCAAAACATATTCGAAAATTTGGTGATAGCTTTTTAGAATCTATTCTTCAACATAGTTATTGAAAGTGAACAAGAAGGACCTCCTCTAGAGATTAGGTTGAGAACCACTTCTTTGATTTGTTAAATATGTGTACATGGATACCATGTGGCTTTATTATGAGGAGCCACTTAAGTGGCTGAGTTACAATTCACAAAACATTGTCACAGGGAAAATATCAGGACAAATTTTCAAGTCGCATGCCAAGAAAAGAAACTTTCTGAATGCTTATAAGAAATACCTTAATTAATGGGAGCCCTTCAAAGTACACAAAACATCATAACTAGGAGTTGCAACACAACCAGCAATTTGCTGATTGAAATGCATTCATTCATACTGACTTCACCTGCTGAATGGAATATTGTGCTGTACTGTCCTTAGCTATGGAGAGAGAATTAAGGAATATCCCCTTCTGGTGTTCAACAACAACGAAAGAGCAAGAAAGATATATTCCTAATTTTTAAAGAAGAATGTAGAGATACTTAAACAAGACAATGAAGGTGGTAGAAAGATTATTACCATCCCCAAAGTGTTTGCTCATTAAAACATTTTGTGATTTTCTCTGCCAATATCATACCTGTATGGATAATTGTTTTCCTATCCACACAGTTATGAGAGTGAGAAGATGGAATATAAAAGATGGAACAAGAGGGAATCTGTGTGGTGACCACAGTAATCACAGGCTGGTTGGGATCCTAAACTCGGCCACAGCACAAAAGCATGTTCAAGTTTAAAGTCATGAGAGAGGCCTGGCATAGTGGCTCACACCTATAATCCCTGCACTTTGGGAGGCCAAGGTGGGAGGATTGCTTGGGGCAAAGAGCTCAAGATCAGCCTGGGCAACATAGTGAGATCCCATCTAAAAAAATGTTCTTTAAGTTAGCCTTATGTGGTGGCATGTTCCTGTGGTATCAGCTACTCAGGTGGCTGAAGTGGGAGGGTCACTTGAGCCTGGAGGTTGAGCCATAATCATGCCACTGCACTCCAGCCTTGGTGACAGATTAAGACTCTGTCTCCAAAAGTAAAACACCAAACAACACAAAAAGTAAAGTCACAATAAAATGAGATGCTATTAAGGTTGTTTTAGGTTGATTTTCAACTAGACCAGCATTTAGCCTGTACAAAGGCATATACAAAATAAACCCTAAACCTAAATGGGATTCAGCAGCAGCAGTGTGGGTTAAAGAAGCCACCAGTTCCCTGGAGGCCAGAACCACAGGCCTGTGGCCTTTTTTATTGTTTTGACAGGGAGGTGGAAAGCAGGAGTATAACTACATTCAAGTGTCTGCTCTGTTGCTGTAGGAGAAAATCCGTGCTGTAGCACATCAAAGTTTTTCCAAATTTTATTTCTTAGGACATCTTTGGGGTTTATGTAAGTATTAAATAGAGCTCCCCTAGCCCAGGCTTACACAGGACATATGTCTAGTGTCATAGGTCTGTATGCTTAAATTATAGCAGAAAGTTTGCTAAAATTTAAGTGAAGTAATGTTGAAGGTTGAATCATTTGAAACAAACTACCTGCACCAAAATATTCTTTAGTGTACTGATTTCTATCCCACCCCTAATGAGGCTGAATTTTAATCTTAACTCTGCTTGTAATTAGGTATTTATATGTGTCTGTTATTCATTTTTTAACAAGATGTCTCTTCAGAGATAAAATGAGGGTAGCAAAAAATAATTTTAATAGCCATTTATATGGCTTTGATAACAATTGTCTGTTCTACTTATCTGACTGATTCTAAACTCTAAAGGTTATTTTACAGTTAGTAAATTACATAATTTTTATGCAACAATTTGCCTGCCAGGATTCCTATAATACTTGTCAGCTATCAGTAGGTATAAGCCTGTTAGCCTCTAATGTGAAGATAATATCTCTTTAAGTTATAACGCATTTACAATTGTTACAGTTTCTAAGGTCTTTTTGAAGTTAGAGATGCATCTGAGGATGATGGTTTTCAAGGAGATAGCTCTTTGACAAAAAATGACAATATGGGACTTAGTGTTATATTAATTTACACATTATGTTTTTGCTATAAAGAGATAAAAGGTGTGCTATACTACCTATCAATTACTGTATGCCACATTTTGTAGAATTGTTTTCCATATTATTGTAGAATGTGGCACTTAAATAGTATCATGAAAAAAGTTTATTCAAGAAATAAGACATTAATGAAATATAATTAATATATAAAGACTATATTTAAAAATAATTATGTATTTCTAATCCTAAACTTTTTAAGGTGACATTATTTTTTTCTGTGATATAATTTCAGTTGAGAAGAACTTTAAATTTTAATAAGATTTTAAGATGATTCAGTAATGTTAACATACTTTTCTTCTGTAAATTTTGTTAACAATTTAGCTGCATTAATTAAATATTTATGTAGCTAATTTTAATAGTGATATTTTAATACAATTCTTAATTTTACTCCTGGCTTTCAATCATTCATATATGTTTTTAAAAATTGCTTTTTCCATTGCTTTACTTCTTAATTACTTTTATCAAAGTCTTAATTGTGTGTGGTTGATTTTAAAAGTTAAATATTTCTATAAGATTTATAAAGACAAACTGGGTACAGTGACTCACACCTGTAATCCCAGCACTTTGGGAGGCCGAGGGGGTAGATCACTTGAGGTCAGGAGTTCGAGACCAGCCTGGCCAACATGGTGAAAGCAGTTTCTACTAAAAATACAAAGATATGCCTGGTGTGGTGGTTGGCCCCTGTAATTCCAGCCACTTGGGAGGCTGAGGCAGGAGAATTGCTTGAACCTTGGAAGCGGAGGTTGCAGTGAGCTGAAACCATGCCATTGCACTCCAGCCTGGGCAGCAAGAGCGAAACTCCATCACACACACACACACACACACACACAAAATATATATATATATATATATATATATATATATATATATATATATAAAATATATATATGTATGTATGTATATATACATGTATATGTGTGTGTGTGTATATATATATACACACACTATATATATATATATATATATATATACACACACACAATAGAAATGTCCTGGCTATATCTATATTAATAGGTTTTGCACATTTAAACCAAAGTCACACATATGGTTTGATTCTAATTAATTCTAATGCATCTTGCAGGTTTCAAACTGTATTCTATTATGTAATTATCTGCTGATCCACTCTGTATCCTGTTGTGTAAGTTGCGATGATTAACCTCTGCCTTTACGATGTAATCCAAATGTAGCATATAGACCTCAATGATAAGATTGATCATGGTGCATTTAATCATTAATTTATTATTAATCTCTTTTATCCTGGTACTTAGAGTGCAGATTTTTCTCAACAACTATTTACGCAATCATTAAATGAAATACAGCCTTGTGTCACTTAGCAATGAGGATATGTTCTGAGAAGTGTGTGGCTAGGTGATTATCTTACTGTGCAAACTTCATAGAGTGATCAATCTATAATGGTGATAGCAATTTTTCAACCCTATTATAATCTTAATGAGCCATTGTTTTACATGCTGTCTCTTATTGATGTAAACGTTGTTATGTGGCACATGATTATGTAAAAGATATTAATCCATTCATTATTTATGCATTCATCCATTTGACCTATGGTAGTGTTCTATTGAAAATGAGTCATCGTGATACAGAAATCCACTGTTAGTTGTTTTTACTTTCTCTTGTTCGTGGGGAAGAGTGGGTATTGATTTTAAAAGTCTAAAGAATGGGGTATTGTGAATAGTGCCGCAATAAACATACGTGTGCATGTGTCTTTATAGCAGCATGATTTATAATCCTTTGGGTATATACCCAGTAATGGGATGGCTGGGTCAAATGGTATTTCTAGTTCTAGATCCCTGAGGAATCGCCACACTGACTTCGACAATGGTTGAACTAGTTTACCGTCCCACCAACAGTATAAAAGTGTTCCTATTTCTCCACATCCTCTCCAGCACCTGTTGTTTCCTGGCTTTTTAATGATTGCCATTCTAACTGGTGTGAGATGGTATCTCATCGTGGTTTTGATTTGCATTTCTCTGATGGCCAGTGATGGTGAGCATTTTTTCATGTGTTTTTTGGCTGCATAAATGTCTTCTTTTGCGAAGTGTCTGTTCATGTCCTTCGCCCACTTTTTGATGGGGTTGTTTGTTTTTTTCTTGTAAATTTGTTTGAGTTCATTGTAGATTCTGGATATTAGCCCTTTGTCAGATGAGTAGGTTGCGAAAATTTTCTCCCATTCTGTAGGTTGCCTGTTCACTGTGATGGTAGTTTCTTTTGCTGTGCAGAAGCTCTTTAGTTTAATTAGATCCCATTTGTCAATTTTGGCTTTTGTTGCCATTGCTTTTGGTGTTTTAGACATGAAGTCCTTGCCCACGCCTGTGTCCTGAATGGTAATGCGTAGGTTTTCTTCTAGGGTTTTTATGGTTTTAGGTCTAACGTTTAAGTCTTTAATCCATCTTGAATTAATTTTTGTATAAGGTGTAAGGAAGGGATCCAGTTTCAGCTTTCTCCATATGGCTAGCCAGTTTTCCCAGCACCATTTATTAAATAGGGAATCCTTTCCCCATTGCTTATTTTTCTCAGGTTTGTCAAAGATGAGATAGTTGTAGATATGCGGCGTTATTTCTGAGGGCTCTGTTCTGTTCCATTGATCTATATCTCTGTTTTGGTACCAGTACCGTGCTGTTTTGGTTACTGTAGCCTTGTAGTATAGTTTGAAGTCAGGTAGCGTGATGCCTCCAGCTTTGTTCTTTTGGCTTAGGATTGACTTGGCAATGCGGGCTCTTTTTTGGTTCCATACGAACTTTAAAGTAGTTATTTCCAATTCTGTGAAGAAAGTCATTGGTAGCTTGATGGGGATGGCATTGGATCTATAAATTACCTTGGGCAGCAAAGACTTGGAACCAATCCAAATGTCCAACAGTGATAGACTGGATTAAGAAAATGTGGCACATATACACCATGCAATACTATGCAGCCATAAAAAATGATGAGTTCATGTCCTTTATAGGGACATGGATGAAATTGGAAATCATCATTCTCAGTAAACTATCGCAAGGACAAAAAACCAAACACCGGATGTTCTCACTCATAGGTGGGAATTGAACAATGAGAACACATGGACACAGGAAGGGGAACATCACACTCTGGGGACTGTTATGGGGTGGGGGGAGGGGGGAGGGATAGCACTCGGAGATATACCTAATGCTAGATGACGAGTTAGTGGGTGCAGCACACCAGCATGGCACATGTATACATATGTAACTAACCTGCACATTGTGCACATGTACCCTAAAACTTAAAAGTATATAAAAAAAAAAGGGGGGGGTATACACACAGTCAGGTGTCAAGCAGTGGCACCTCGTGCAAAATAATAAACTCATCTAAGATCCTAGCAGTTCATTCTGAAAATAAAGCTGGAAATATATCTTGGATATGTAAAATGTGAGTGTAAAAATTAATGAAACTAAGCAATGGGAATATGAGTAGTAAATTATTTGAGAAAATATTATAACATTTACTTTTTTAAATTTCAAAACTATATTTCCTTATTTAAAACTGAAAATTTTTGTGTACATATAGGAAACTAATTGTGTCATTTTTCTTTTTGTTACAATATAGAGTGATGTTTCAAAACACAAACATAATAGGTAGAGTCAATTACTTAGGGGAGTCTAAACCTGGAGGTAACATTAGAAATAGAAATAATAAAATGCAGTGTTTTTGGATTTGTCTGTTAAGATTATTTTAATCCAGATCATATTTAATGGTTTACATAGTTGTATATCAAATTTGGTTTCAGAAATAAATTATACAGTAAATTTAAAAATGCAAAAAATGTATATTGTTATACATTCTGTAACCTATGAATCCATATAACTTGGGCAAGAAAATTATATAATTAAAAATAAAACCTTTCTGTTCTCAATTATGTTTTAGGGACAGCTATATAGTTCACACTCACAAAGGAATCATAAAAACTCTATGTATAATCTTGGAAGTAAAAATATCTGTTGTATCATATTTATGAAGTATACAATTGATTAAAAATGATAATGTCTGTCTTCTATCCAACGGCAATAACAGAAGATAATGGCATATAAGTAGGCCTGTCTCCTTTTTTTTGGCATTGATTTATATATCTTTACTAGCTTTGTTGTTTTAACTCCAATAAAAGATTATTTAGTAAGCCAAAGCAAAAAAAAAAAAAAAATCCTGTGAGCAGCCACAAACTGAAAGACTACGATTTTTAGTCAATGTCCTAAGCAACACAGTAATTTTAGGTTAACCAATGTGTCAAAGAGAATGAGGAAAAATTATTACAAAAATGAATAAATAAACTGGTCTAGGTCAAACCGTACTCCTTCTAAAGAGAGTAGTCAACTGATATTAAAGCCTGTGACGTAGTATGTGCCATATTGAGTATGCAATATCTAAATATTTCTTTTTTTTCTTTCTCCAGCTACTGCAAACCCTAATTGTTTCCTTATCCGATCACTTTAAAGTCATTCAGCAAATCATAATTATGCCATTGTTAACATCAGAAACTGAAAACCTACTGTCAAAAGTGAGCTAAAATATCATATTTGGATTTATTTATAAATTTATTTTATAAAAAGATTGACTTTCAATTTGAGAATAACATAAAAAATCAATTCATTCCTCTGTGCATCAATATTGTATCATTGGTAGTTTAAACTTTTCATCTAATATTAGATTGCATGCAGGATTTTATATCTAATTACTCTGGCAGATGGCCTTTAGAAAGTTCAAAAATAAAATGCAGCAATTCATATTGGCAGATTTACTATTGAGACCAATGCTTTCTTAACTAAAAGGTTTTGTTTAAAATCGTTAGTTTAGGAAATCTGATAAAGATTTTTGAATATCAGAGCGTTTAAAAGAGATTCTTACTTTACATCTGGCATATTTCTTGTGTTACATATTATAATTTCATTGAACATGGCTGTCTGTAAAACTATGTATATGATCCGGAAGAGACTCAAATTAAATTAAGTTTTAACAGCCATCAATTCATTTTAAAATGACACAGGCATGAAAAATGATCTATCAAGATTTGTAAATCTTATTCTGTTAGCTATTGCTAGAGATAGTCTAAAGGTATTCTACTTGGAATTTGAGATCAAGACAAAGATTTTCTGTTGGTAATAATATTCAGATTATTTTTATTTTAATGTATAAATTTAAAATTCTTAGAATATTTTCAACAATATTTTCCATTTCTAAATTTATTTTATTTCTAAACAAATGTAATTACTTTATTTATTAACTTTTATTTTCAGTTCAGGGGTATATGTGCAGGTTTGTTATATAGGTAAACCTATAGGTAAATAGGTATACAGATTATTTTGTCACCCAGGCATTAAGCCTATGCGCGTTAGTGAAAAATGTTATTGCTTTAAATATCCAAATTATTCAGCTGCATTTGAACTCATTCTTTAGTCCAATGTAAGTAAGAGTAAAACAATGACATTTAAGGCCACCAGGCTATTCTCATTTTTGGAAAAATGCTGGATTACATTACCAGCATATTAAATGAGAATATCAAGGTGTAATATCTCCCTAGAAATTGTCTCACCTTCAATACTATTGACATTTTTGGACCTGATAATTTTGTTGTGGGCTCTAGCCTCATGTTATAGGAGGTTTACCAGTTTTCCTGCCCTAAACTTACCGGATGTGAATAGCATCTTTGGAATCTTCAGAACCTCTTTAGAGTTTGGGATTTAAGAGTCAGTAGGTAGATAGTGAGCTTAAGATGCCAAACACAACATATAAAGCTATAAAAATCCATATGATCTTGAAAGATTAAATGGAAGCCCAGCACAAAACAATTGCTGAGTATATTATTTACATTATCTGAAAGTATGCCAGACAGACACTTTATATGTTAATAAAGATATGAGAAAGAAAATTCCAAAGAGTTTCTAAAAAGTGAACAACCACAAAATTTCAATAGCTTGCAACAGACATTTTCTTCTCACTCATGTTACCTGATGGAAAATCAAATGGCTGCCTGGAGACAGCATGGAGGGAGAGACTGATTACTGAGGTGCACAAGAAAACTTTTCATAATGATGGTTGTGAATGTAGTGATATTTCCAAAAGTATATACATATATATATATATCTATCTCAAATTTGACCACATCACACATTTCAAGTATACTGAATTGACTGTGCATCTCTTATTATACCCCAGGAAAGTTGAAGATATGACAATGAAAAAAAAATTCTTCCACCGACTACCCATCAATTTTCTTCTCATTAGCCTCACAGATTTCACAGTTAATTAAAGGGAAGATGCAAATATGTTCAAACTGTACATATTCTGAGGCCCATACCTTGCCATTAGCTCAATAAAGAGAGACATTGTCCCTGGCATGAAAATGAAAAACTTGCACACTCCCTAGGTGGCTTCTGGACACTCTTAAGACATGAACACACTTTGGGGGCTCACCCTGTCAGGCTTTGCTCTCCGAGCTTAGATGAGAAAAACACAAAAATAAAACCAAAAGGTGACATTTAGGTGCCCATCAAGAAAGATGTGTTGGGAACTGGACAGGTCAGGGCTTTAAGTACTGTATCTTACTGTATGTTTAAGTACTGTATGTTACTGTGGAAACTTACCCATTTTCCCCTCAGAACAACTCTGTCTCAGGAGGTGAGTCTGAGAGCTACTGTTTCTTTGTAAAGGTTTTATCTGATCAGGCCCACGGTCACCACGTCAGCCCCACTGCCCCTAAATAGTTTGAATCTTGATGTTTTGATTTCAAGGACTTCTGATTCTAGCTACATAGCTTTGTCCATTTCCCACCTTACCACTATTTACTTTGAATTTTGTTGCATGCCGAGACCAGTGACTGCCACAAATGTGACTGTTCCTAGAATCTGCTTTCTGCTCTGATCTTTAGTCAGTGCGCAGACTCTAACATAAACTCCTTTCTATCGTATTTTCTTGAGTCCAAGAGCCCATAGATTGTATAATGCACTATTTTATGTCCCGTTAAGCAAGTAATTCGCATTGTGGCTAATTAAACTAAGACATACCACTGAATTGTAAAATGCATTATATTTTCAGGAGATATTAAAATATGAAATGTATAGGTCTTGGAATAGATGAATTGTGACAGTATCTTTGGAAAGCTAATTCAGTTGCAGTATTGCTTAAGATGTCTTTAAGAGCTGACTTCCTTTAGTTGGAATACATATGTAAATTATTTGCAGAGGAGATTTACCTCTTTTATCTCATTCATTTGTTTATTCAGTCATTTATTGATATCAATATGGACTAAGGAAAATTACATTTTTGGGTATAATCCAAATATAATACCAATTAATGTATTGTGTTGCTAAAATTATTCTAGAAATTGAAAGACCTTTCACTTGGCCCCTGTGCTTGTTTGACATATCTCACAAATAGATTTTTGTTAGTATTTTCATAATTTCTGGCACTAGAGGATGTCCCAGGCTCATCTTGTGTATTTTCTTCCCCATTCTTAGAATCAGCCACTTTCAAAGACGCCCTGCTTTCTATATATGAAATCAATATTTAAGTGCTAGCTGTGCCTGTAGCTAAGGGAATATCAATTTTTTCATAGCTCTCTAAGATGAGAGAGCAAAGAAACAATGTGTATATTCTTACACATATGTAGACACATATCTTTAAATATTTCTATATGTAAACATCTATATTAGTCCATTATCCCATTGTTATAAAGAACTACCTGATCCTAGGTAATTTATAAAGAAAAGAGCTTTAATTGCCTCACAGTTGCACAGGCTGTACAGGAAGCAAGGATGGGGAAGCCTCAGAAAACGTACAGTCATAGCAGAAGGCAAAGAGGAAGCAGGCACATCTTACATGGCTGGAGAAGGAGGAAGAGAACTAAGGGGGAGATGCTACACACTTTTAAACAACCAGATTGTGTGAGAACTAAGTCATTATCACAAGAACAGCAAGGAGGAAATCTGCCCCCATAATCCAATCCCCTCCCACTAGACCCCTCCTTCAACACTGGCGATTACAATTGGACGAGAGGTTTGAGAGGGGACAAAATGTAAACCATATCACCATCTATGTCTATATTAAGCTAAACATGGGTTCTTACTGATGTCACTACCTCTAACCTAGTCCCGCAAGCATCAATGCCTTCCTGTATCTCTAAACCCCCACTCCAACAATAAAAATCCTGACTCTTATTTTGTGACATCTATTTAGTTAATTGTTCACTTCCAGTATATGTATATAGCTGTACCAGAATTGATAACCTGCCCTTAGTAGAAGAACATCTTTATCAACTAAATTAAATGCCTTCGTACAAGTTTCTTTTGCCTTTCATCTTAAGAGACTGCACTCATTTTCAATATCACTTTGACTAGCACCCTTTCCCTTAAGTCCCTCACTGAAGTTATTTTGTATGGTTCATAATAGAGCTAGATAAATTTGTAACAGTCTGCATTCCATCCTGAGATTCTACAACCTTTTAATTAATTTTTAATTAAAAATATAACTTTTATTTTGGTAAATATTAGCACTTCTGTGCCACACTACTATATATAAATATCAAAAAAAGGTCCAGAAAGCTATAGAAAATTTAAGTAAAGTGCTGAATGTTGAACCTAACAATAACTGGGCTAAAGTAAGTACAGAAGGCAATTTTTTATTTACGTAAATTTGTGGGATACAAATATAATCTTATTACCTCCATAAAGTACGTAGTGTTGAAGTAAGGGTTTTAGAATATACATCACCTGAAAAATGTACATTGTACTCATTACATAATTTCTCATCATCCCCTCCTCCCACCCTCCTGAAATTTCCAAGTCTCTGTTGTCTATCATTCCACATTCTATGTCCATGTGTATACATTATTTAGCTTCCAGTTATAAGTGAGAACATGCAGTATTTGTCTTTCTGTGTCTGATTTGTTTCACTTAAAATAATGACCAGTTACATCCATGTTGTTACAAAAGACATGATTTTATTCTTTTGTATAGCTGAATAGTATTCTATAGCGCATATATGCCAGATTTATTAATGTAATCATCCACTGAGGGACACATTGCTATTGTGAATAGTGCTGTGATAAACATATGGGTGCAGATACCTTTTTCATACAATTATCTGTTCTCCTTTGGGTAGATCTCCAGTAGTGGGATTGTTGGGTGAAATTGCGGTTTTATTAAGAATGTATATTCTGTAGTTGCTGGGTAGTATTTTCTGTAAATGTCAGTTAGGTCTATTTCATCTAAGGTTGAATTTAAGTCTTAGGTTTATTTGTTTTCTGTCTTGATGATAACATTTAATGCTGTGAGTGAGATGGTAAAGTCCCCCAGTATTATCGTATTGCTGTCTATTCCTTTTTTATGTCTAGTAATATTTATTTGATGAATCTTGGTGGTCTAGTGTTGGATGCATATGTGTTTAGAATTGTTATATCCTCTTGCTGAATTGATCCCTTTATCATTATGTAATGACTTCCTTTGTCATTGTTATACTGTTTTAGATTTAAGTTCTGTTTTACTTGATATAAGTATAGCTATTCCTGCTTGCTTTTAGTCTCCGTTACATGGAGTATCTTTTTTCACCCATTTACTTTAAATCTGTATGTGTCTTTACTTTTCAGTCTGTATGTGTCTATATGTTTCTTGTAAGCATAATATTTTTGGATCATTTTTTAGTTCGTTCCATCAATCTACCTTTCTTTTTTTTTTTTTTTTTACTTTTAGATGGAGTTTCACTCTGTCATCCAGAGTGGAGTGCAGTGGCGCAATCTTGGCTCACTGCAAACTCCGTCTTGCAGGTTCAAGCGATTCTCCTGCTTCAGCCTCCCAAGTAGATGGGATTACAGGTGCCGGCCACCACGCCTGGCTAATTTTTGTATTTTTAATGGAGATAGGGTTTCACTATGTTGGCCAGCCTGGCCTCGAACTCCTGACCTCGTGATCCACCCACCTCGGCCTCCCAAAGTGCTGGGATTACAGGTGTGAGCAACTGCACCTGGCCCAATATCTATCAATCTATATATTTTAAGTGGAATGTTTAATTCATTTACATTCAAGGTTAATGTTAATACATGAGGTTTTCTTTCTGCCATATTGCTGTTTGTTTTCTACTTGTTTTATAAGTTCCTTGGGGTTATTTTGTTGTTGTTTTTTGTTTTTCTTTCTGTGTGTCTCTTTGTCTTTGTGGTTTGGTGGAAATCTGTTGTGTTGCTATTTGATTGCTCGTCCTACTTTGTGTGACTGTTTTACAAGACCTATGAGTTTGCTACTTTCATGTGTTTTGATGATGATGATGAATGTTGACCTTTCATTTTTGTGTTTGGGACACCTTTGAGTATTTCTCATAGGACTCGTTTGGTGGTGACGAATTCCCTCAGTGTGTGCTTGTCTGGAAAATACTTTGAATCATTTCAAGAAAATTAGCAGTGAGTTATGTCAATCAAGCCATTGGTTTGTATTTGGTGGCACATTTACTCTGTATTATTTCACACTAGAACCATCTGAGTTAAGTTTTATTATTTGCTATATGTTGCAGATGAAGAAACTGAAGCTGAGAGAGGTTTAGTGAATGACTGAAAAGGTTGTCAGGCTGCAGGGAAAAAAACAAAACAAAACTGTACGACTAGCCTGCAATGCTTCCCAAAGTATGTAGCTTATTATTATTGGTCACTTTTTGAGTACAAAATGCTGTGCTATGTAACAAAATAATACAATGTACATATGTATAAAAGTTAACATATACATATCAATTAACATAAGCATAACTGTAATCACATATACTGATAAATAAAAATATAAAGTAATATATGGTAATGACCCAACCATTTGCCTAAGTTTCATGTATTACAGAAGTTTTGAGGAGGGACTTCAGCTGTATGCAAATCAGCAATTCGGGTTGTACAGTTGATTACCCATTAGTTCAGAATTTTAATAATTTAAAATATATTTATTAAGAACCTAACAATTGGAAGACCTTACAATAGGTGGGAAAATTCGACAGATGAATAATGCTTAGGAGATATCAGCATGTTTTGGAAGGATATTCCCATGAAGAGAAAAAGTATTGTGGGAAGTGTGGGAAGTGTTATGGTGCGAGAGTAATATAGGTTCCAGCATGTGTTTACATTATTTTGTTGGAGGTGTTGGGGAACCTTTCATGGAAGGTGTGTGGTAGACTGTTGGACAGGTTTCCTCAACTTTCGTTCCACTCTTTGAAGAGGTTAGAAAATTAAAACAAAACAAGCAATGCAGCTTCCCTTGAGCTAGCTTTATGAATGCAGCTTAGACCACTTACCGATTGTTTGCATATGAATCAGACTTAGAAAAATGGAAGAGATCAAAGCCTGTCTTGCTATTGTTGATTCTGGCAAGTGAAATCATGGGGACAATAGTTCAGAAGTAGT
The DNA here is from genome assembly GCF_000001405.40 of Homo sapiens. NCBI lineage: Eukaryota > Metazoa > Chordata > Mammalia > Primates > Hominidae > Homo > Homo sapiens. The sequence continues at coordinate 1,257,109 of NW_025791777.1, forward strand.
GGAAGTGGTAGGATTCAATATCCTTGTGCCTAATCCCCAGTTTCATGGGCATAAGAGGCTTAAAGTTTTAATAGCAGGAGCATCTTTTTGACCCAGGATTGCAGAAATGATTGCGTGCCTTTGAATTCAAGAACTCAAAACCTTCCTCCATGCCACAGCTACTTTAGTTATTTTAGCCCTTCCTATTGTATATGTATGAAATGCACTTTCTGCTTAAGATACCTATTGCGGTTTTTATTTCCTTATTAAAACCTTGGAAAAATATAGCACTTAAATTATGTTTTGTAGAAATTCACTAAGCAAATAAAGCTAAAGGGGGAGAGAGTTAACCTTCTCTGCCCCCTTTTTATCAGAAGTTAGTTGTAGAAGAAATACACAATTTTTGCGCAATGTTAGCACCATCTAAGTTCTGTAGGTCTGGAACACAGACTGGTTAAATGAGCATTTCAGGAGCGCTATAGTTGCAAAGTTAAGCAGTCACCACAATTTTATGTGTCATACAAAGATTTTTAACTTTATGTTTAAGCAACGAGCCTAGAAGCAAATGGTATTTCCATCAAGAATTGTCTCATATAAAGTAGAGCGTTTTGGAAAATGGAGTTATTAATAGATAAAAACATGTTTATACAGTTGGTTTCTAAGTATGACAAACCTATTTCTTGGTAAATTGCAAGTCCATTCCACCTGTGTTTGTAGGCTCATTTGCCTAAAAGTCTTGGGATTTTTTTCTGATGATCTATTAAATTTTCTTTCTGATTATCTTTTCTAATGCTGTAATAGCATTTCTAACACTGTAATGAAAGAGAACAAAAGTACACGCTTGCTCATCATTTACTAATTCTAAAAATATATATTGAATACATCTATGTAGCAGGTACTGTGGTAGGTGTGGAAGATAGTTGAGACAGGTAACAAGCCCAACATTACGGAGCTTAGCATCACCACCTAGAAGAGTTTTTAAAAAACATAGATAAGTGAATCATGATTATAAAGACAAAGAGATTCTTGCCATATAATTACATATAAGCAAATTTAGGATGTGATGAAAGATTTTGATATTGGTCTTCTGATTTGGCTGTAGGATGAAGTGTTTATAAGTCATCCCAAGGAAGAAACAATTCAGATGAGAACTATTCAATGGATTTGCAATAACAATCCAAAGATGGAAGAAGACACTTCTAGGTAGACAAAATTGCAAGTATAGAGAATGTAAATTAAGAGAGAGCTTAGCTTTCAGATGAATTAAAAGATTGTGGTGATGAGAATGTAGAGATTGACGAGAGACAAATGAAATAAAACTAGAAGGACAAGTAGAGATTTGTGGGTCAAGTTTTAAAATTTTATTATAAATGCACTGATACTGTTCTGAACATTTTCTTACACATGGAAATTTAATGATTATGGCTATTGAAAAATGTAACTCTTCATTTATATTTTTCCGAGAATGAAATCGGTGGAATTGCTGGGGGGTGAAAATGTCCAATGCGAAACAGGAGGCTAATTTAAGAAGGGATACTGCAAAATTGGTCATGATGGCTCAAACTGCTGTTCATAATAGAGAGAAGAAAATGGATAGAGTTACATATGGATGAGAGTAAATTGACAAGGCTAAATGCTAAAACGTGGGTAGTGACAGAAAGTAGGTGTCAAAATAGACTTCCAGGAAAAGAAAAAATGGGTCTACAGAAGAGCCAAATGCTGATGTGGGTTACATGATCCTGAGCAGATGCAGTTGTAATTGGTTAAGTAAAGTAAGTTCTTAAGATAGATTTGGCCTGGCGCTATACATTCTAGAGCCCTTGAATATAAGTGGGATATAAAACCATGGGAATGACTGTATTTGTCTAAGGAGAGAATTTGGCAGAAGAAAAGGAGACATAAGATGAAATGCAGAGGAAATTCAAATTTAATTGGCAGGTGTAGGAAGACAAGGAGATGACAAAAGGAACTGGAAATGAGTAATCAGAGACAGAAAAGTAAAAGTAAGAGTAGAATGTCATGGAAGGCAAATAATTGGAATGTTTCAAGATCAGGGAAATGGGCAATAAAGAGAAGAAAAAAATAGTGACCAGAGGGTATAGTAATGTGTAGAAATTCATCCTGTGTTAGGTTTGATTGCTTAGACGTTTTATATAAAAATCTTTCCCAGAGAGTAATAAAACAGAAGTGAGGTTAGAGAAAGAACATACGATTTAGCCAAAAGGTGGGAAAAGTTAGGAAATGAAGAATAAATATGTTTAAAGATAATGTTATGGCTACTCAATGTACAACCTCTTTTCTTTCATTATTTTTAATTGTCATATTTAAAAATAGTAATTACCACTTTTAAAAATTGTCTTATTATTTGTTACATAAGAAAATGCATTAATTCAAGCCACATAGTATCATTTATATTATGACTGTCGAAACATTACTAGAATTACTAGAACTATTAACCTAATGGCCTGAAAATTTCAACTCACTTCCCTAGCTGTCCTGATGATCATTAGTGAAAGGAAAGACTCCATTAGATAATGCTTACTTATAGAGAACTGGTTATATCTGTCTCATTTCCATACATATATCTGTATAAATTAATTTGATTAATAAAACAAACACAAGGCACAAACAACAAAACACAATTTATAAATGTCATTGAAAAATGCATGCCTGTACAATTTGGGTATTTGTAATTGTAAATTGATATACTTCATTTTTTATCCAGGAGTTACTTAGATTGAAACTTTACCTAATGTATGATAAAATAATACGTGATTAAATTTAAAAACATGATGAATTTATTTAAAATTGGCTTCAATAATGTCAGAAAGTAATAAAATAAAATGATTCCTTCAAAGACTGCACCTGTTTATTGCCTGAGATTATCTCTCTTGGCCACAAATCAATATTACTTTCTTTCATTCATCAGTGATAAAGCTTTTCAATAATTCTAATTTTAAAGGATGATTACAGCAAGTATATAGTCATTGATTGCTTAAAGGTTGCAGCTAAAATGAACACAATGGTCATTTTATTTTTAATAAATGAGCCCTTTTGAAAAGTCAAGCATTTTTCCTCTCACAAAACTTTGTGTAATAAGATTATAGATTTGATCATGTATGAGTTTGCACTGTGTGTGTGTATATATGTGTGTGTGATTTCAGCGATAAAGTTCACTGTTCCACAGCTGGCAATTTCTTCTGCTTAATTGAAAATTCCGTTTTAAAATATTTCTTTAAAGTTCTAAAATGGGTTTAAATGGGTTCATGAGCTGTAATACTATTAAAAATATATATATCTACATATTTGTTGATTCTTCTCAGTTTAAGAAGTGGAGCTTCATACTCCTCCCCTTGAAGGCAGGCTAAGCTGAGTGACTCCCATCTAAGAAATAAAACACCACAGGATTGGAATGTTACCTTCTGAGACAAGGTCACAAAGGCTAGGGTTTTAATTTTGAGTGAACTAATTTGCTCCTTACTGGTGTTTCTCTCTCTTTCTCTCCTTCAACTCTTTACGAGCCCAGCCACCATGCAAATAATTCCAAACTATCTTTTCTAGAAAGCTCACATGAAGAACCGAGGCATCCTATCTGATATCCAGCCAAATGATTAAACATTCTAGAAGCAGACTATGATGCACTGAATTTGTGAAATCCTAACCCCCAGTGTAATGATAGTAGGAGGTGGAGCTTTTGGTAGATGATAGTCTGTCTTCATGTTGGGGATTAGTGCCTTGATTATTATTTTTTATTTTTATTTTTATTTATTTATTTATTTATTTTTTGAGACAGAGTTTTGCTCTGTTACCCAGGCTGGAGTGCAGTGGTGCCATGTCAGCTCACTGCAGCGTCTGCCTCCTGGGTTCAAGTGTTTCTTCTGCCTCAGCCTCCTGAGTAGCTGAGTAGCTGAGACTACAGGTACGCACCACCACACCTGGCTAATTTTTGTATTTTTAGTAGAGACGGGGTTTCACCATACTGGCCAGGCTGGTCTGGAACTCCTGACCTCGTGATCTGCCTGCCTCAGCCTCCCAAAGTACTGGGATTACAGATGTGAGCCACCGTGCCCAGCCGGGGATTAGTGCCCTTGTAAAAGAGACCCCAAAAAGCGTCCTTGCCCCTTCTGCCATGTGAGCTAGAGGACAGTAATCTATGAACTAAAAAATGGGCTCTGACCAGACACCAAATCTGCAAGCACCTTGATTTTGCACCATCCAGCCTCCGGTACCATTAGAAACGTTTCTGTTGTTTATAAGCTACCCTGTCTATGGTATTCTGTAGCGACAGTGCAAACAAACTAAGACACGGACCTTCCAACACAAGTTAAAGGCTTCAGGGGATGCTGCCTGGGTCAACAACATGACAGCAACCTTTACTCATGAGAGACTTCGAGTCAGAACCACCTACCCAAATCCATCATTTCCCTGACTTCTATAAATTGTGTCATACATATTTGTTATTTTAAGCCATTAAGTTTTAGGGTAATTTTTAAATGGAAAAATACATGATCATAGGTAAACTATAATTAATAGAAAAATCTAATGCCAATAATATTTACCATTGATTGACCGTCAAAACTCCATTAATTATTTGCTTTCCATTTATATTTATTTTTGGATTTCTTTTTTAAGAGAATGGCACCTGTGACAGCATACTGTTAATATTACCCTTTTATCGTACTTTACCATGCCATCTCTGAAGAATATTACAGACCATTTTGGAGCATGGTGAATAAGAAATTTTCACCTTAGGAGTTCACTTGAATAGTCATTTTTATATTTGTGACTGCAAGTCACTTTTAGGGGCTGTACTTCCTTAGTACTGGTAGCATTATTATCCAATGGACTTTTTTAGCTTTCATTAGGTTTTCTTTTGTTTTTGTTCTTTAAAGAACGTTTTACTTGTCTTAGTATTTCATTTTTTAATCTATACTATGAGGCAGTAAGAGTCTTCTGTTTTTCCAAAGTGGAGACTGCTTTATATTTATTTCGTATTGTCTACAGCTGTAGTGTTCAATACATTAGCCACTAGCCACATGTGGTTATTTAAATAAGATGAAATAAAAATTGGCCGGGCGTGGTGGCTCACGCCGGTAATCCCAGCACTTTGGGAGGCCGAGGCGGGCAGATCATTAGGTCAGGAGATCGAGACCATCCTTACTAAGACGGTGAACCCCCATCTCTATTAAAAATACAAAAAATTAGCCGGGCGTGGTGGCGGGCGCCTGCAGTCCCAGCTACTCAGGAGGCTGAGGCAGGAGAATGGCGTGAACCTGGGAGGCAGAGTTTGCAGTGAGCCGAGATGGCGCCACTGCACTCCAGCCTGGGGGACAGAGCGAGACTCCATCTCAAAAAAAAAAAAGAAAATTAAAAATTAAGTTCTTTAGTTGCACTAGCCATATTTCAAATACTTGATGGATACATGTGGCTAGTGGCTAACATAAGGGATAGCACAGATATAAAACATTTCCTCGTCATATAAAGTTCTATTGGATAGTGCTGGTCTGTAGCTTATAGGATGGTATCTTAGTCTGCTTCAGCTGCTAAAACAGAATACCATAAATTAGGTAGCTTAAACAGTAGATATTTTGACCAGGCGTGGTGGCTTATGCCTGTATTCCTAACACTTTGGGAGGCCGAGGCAGGTGGATAACTTGAGCTCAGGAGTTTGAGACTAGCCTGGGCAGCATGGCAAAACCTTGTCTCTACGAAAATCAGCTGGGCATGGTGGTGCACGCCTGTAGTCTGAGCTACTTGGGAGGCTGAGGTGGGAGAATTGCTTGAACCTGGGAGGCGGAGGTTGCAGTGAGCCATGATCGCACCACTGTACTCCAGCCTGGATGACAGAATGAGACTCTGTCTCAAAAAAAACAAAAACAAACAAACAAAAAAACAGATATTTCTCACAGTTCTGGAGACTGGAAGTGCAAGATCAAAGTGTTGGCAAATTGTGTTTCTTAAAGAGGGCCTGCTTCCTAGATTGGAAATGGCCATCTTCTCTCGGTATCCTCACATGGTAGGGAGAAAAGCAGCTCTAGTGTCTCTTCTTATAAAGGAAGTAATGCCACCATAGGGGCTCTATTCTCATGACCTCATCTAAACCTAATTCTCTCCTAAAGGCCACGCCTCCCAGTATCCTCACCTTGGGGGTTAGGGCTTTATCATATGAATTTTTTTTTTTTTTTTTTTTGAGACAGAGTCTCGCTCTGTCTGTCACCCAGGCTGGAGTGCAGTGGCACAATCTCGGCTCTCTACAAGCTCCGCCTCCTGGGTTCACGCCGTTCTCCTGCGTCAGCCTCCTCAGTAGCTGGGACTAAGGCGCCCGCCACTGCGCCCGGCTAATTTTTTGTATTTTCAGTAGAGACGGGGTTTTACCATGTTAGCCAGGATGATCTCGATCTCCTGACCTCATGATCCACCCGCCTCGGCCTCCCAAAGTGCTGGGATTACAGGCATGAGCCACCGCGCCCGGCCTATCATATGAATTTTGAGGGAACACAAACATGCAGTCTGTAGCAGATGGTAATAGGCTGACATATTACACTTGTTGATGTAAATCTGATAGGTTTCTTTCTCTCCAAGGACAGCTTTTTAAATATTTAACAGTATCAATAATTTTTCAGGTTCTGTGAGAATTTTATAATTTATAATTTGCAGACTTAACGTATAATCTATTTTGTCCTAACAATTACAAATATATTTTTTATTTCAGATTGTATATATTCCTACCAGATGGAGATAATTACAGCTTTAAAAATTTTTATTTTTTCATTTTATTTCACACATTGACATTAAATTTTTATGGACACATAATAACTGTACATATATATGGGGTAGAATGTGATGTTTTAATACATGTACTCAATGTGTAATGATCAAATCAGGGTAATTTGCATAATGATTTTTCTGTAGGGAGAAAATTCAAAATCTACTCTTCTGGCTATTTTCAAATATATAATATGTTATTGTTAACTATACTCATCCTACTATGCAATAGGACACCAGAACTTATTCCTGGGTTCTACATCCGTTAAGGCAACCAAGGATTGGAAATATTGGAAAAAAAAATTGCGTCTGTACTGAACATGTACAGACTTTTTTCTTGTCCTTATTCCTTACACAATATAGTACAATAACTATTTGCATGACATTTACATCGGATATTATGAGTGATCTAGAGTTGATATGAAGTATATGGGAGGATGTGCAAAGGTGATGTGCAAATACTATGTCATTTTATATCAGGGACTTGAGTATCCTTTGTTACCCTCAGGAGATCCTGAAACCAGTCCCCCATGGATACTGAGGGCTGACTGTATAGTCCTATCCTCACGGAACTTTCATTCTAATGGGGGAAGACTGACTATAAACAAAATATATGTAATAGGTGGTGGTAAGTACCGTGGAGAAGTAACAAATGGGGCAAAGTGAGTTATACAGCTCCATTCTTAGAAACCTTGGAGTACTTTTCTTAGTTTATACTCGTGGTGGTTTCCTTTTGTCTCCTTTATTACATGGGACTCTGACATGTGCCCATAGCTAGGGTGACAGTAGGATCTACCCGATAGTAGGGTGGCAGTAGGATCTACCCAAAAAGCGTCCTGCTGATACAGGACCAAAGCATCCTGTTGTTCTCGAGCCTATAAAAAGAGCTAATGGTGTTGCTTCTCTTAACTGTGGCCTCCTACACTGTGTTTTGGATGATTGGTGATGTCTTGGATATTCTGTTTCTTTGGAACTTTGAATATACAACACTTTACTAGGGAATTAGCAATGGAAGCAGAGCAAAGATGTACAGAGGAAACAATGCGTAACTCTGATGGAATTGAAGTCATGAGGCAGCAGAGAGCTTAAATTACAGCTTTAAAAATTTTTATTTTTTAGAGGGAATTTACTTGGGAGTAACAGCAGTAATAGTTAACGGAGCCAGAATGCTTGAGTCATATAATTGCAAAGCAGAGTTGGGAGCAACAGATGCTAAAGAGTAGTTGCTGTAGTTCCTCTTTGGGTCGTAGGAGCAGTTGTCATATTACTATATAGCTACTGCATGAAGAAGAGTTCTTAGTGAGGCCTGGGTGAACAGCTCTTCTTAGTATTCTGTGTGACCCCATTTGACCTTTTAACAAATCCCTAAGTAAATAAATAGCCCCTCAGGAAAACTAAGTTTTTCTCTGCTGTTTTTTCGCTTGAGAGAGCTATAACTGTAATAGACTTATATTTCTGAACATTTTAGTGCTTGCCAATATTTGGTAATATTTATGTTTCCTATATTTGTAATGAACATTCTTCTTCCGGTACATTTTTTGTTAAATTATTGTTTGATGGATAAAAGTTCACCTTTTATTGTATAAAATTGACTGAGATTAATTTATACACATTGACAATGGGTAAATAGAATTTTTCAGATTATTAAAAGCTGAAGGATGCCCACGTAAGCAAAAAAAAAAAAGAAAAAACCAACAAAAATAAACCCAAACCCCTCAAACAATTTCGAACACGAAACATTCTTCTGATGCCGGCATCCCTGCTTGCAGGTGTGAAGGGGGCAGGAATCAGCGAGGTGTCCTGGGCTGAGTCCCCGGAGTGGGAAGAGGTGGCAGGAAGGGGATCTGAGGAGGAGAACAGGGGTCCTGGTGGTCTGTGCTTCTTCCCAGACACGGGAGCTGTAGAGGAGACCTCTGCAGCAGATGCTAGGGGGGCCAGTAGGCCCAGGCAGTCTTGGGACTTGGGTCTGTCCTGCTGTGCATCCATAGTGGGTGCTTTAGAAACGGGAGGCCCACCCGAAGCCCCTGTTGCAAGTGAGGACAAAGTGTGGGAAGGCCGTGAGGGTCTGCAGTCCGAGATGGCCTTGTCCTCAACGTGCAGTGCACTGTTGATGCGGGGCCTAGAGGCCTGGGATCTGGGGGAGCCACCCCTGGGGGCGAGTGTCTGCCCTGGTGCTGTACCTGCCTTGTTTTCACAGCGGTGACCCGAAGAGACAGCCTGAGGTCCGTCCTCACTCACTGTGTTTGAGGAACTGTGGGCCAGCTGGCAGTGGGATGAGGCTGGCCCCCTCCTCCGCTTTAGTTCCTGGAGGCCTTCCGTAGAGCTGTGGGAGCTGGAGCTGGCATTTCGTTTGAGGCAGGATCTGGTCCGGGAGGTCTGGGATCTCTGGTTATATCTCACTTCTGACCTCTGGGCACGTGCTGCAGCTGTGGCTGAGGCCAAGAAATGTGAGGGGCCTCCATCCACTGCATTGAGTAGCGACCCCGACGTGGGGTTCAATGTGGAGGGGGGAAGGGCTGCTGCGGCAGCTGCAGGAGCCGAGGTGCCAGGCCTTGTTCTTCTCATGCCGGCATCCCTGCTTGCAGCTGTGAAGGTGGCAGGAATCAGCGAGGTGACCTGGGCTGAGTCCCGGGAGTGGGAAGAGGTGGCAGGAAGGGGATCTGAGGAGGAGAACAGGGGTCCTGGTGGTCTGTGCTTCTTCCCAGACACGGGAGCTGTAGAGGGGACCTCTGCAGCAGATGCTAGGGGGGCCACTAGGCCCAGGCAGTCTTGGGACTTGGGTCTGTCCTGCTGTGCGTCCATAGTGGGTGCTTTAGAAACGGGAGGCCCACCCGAAGCGCCTGTTGCAAGTGAGGACAAAGTGTGGGAAGGCCGTGAGGGTCTGCAGTCCGAGATGGCCTTGTCCTCAACGTACAGTGCACTGTTGATGTGGGGCCTAGAGGCCTGGGATCTGGGGGAGCCTCCCCTGGGGGCGAGTGTCTGCCCTGGTGCTGTACCTGCCTTGTTTTCACAGCGGTGACCCGAAGAGACAGCCTGAGGTCCGTCCTCACTCACTGTGTTTGAGGAACTGTGGGCCAGCTGGCAGTGGGATGAGGCTGGCCCCCTCCTCCGCTTTAGTTCCTGGAGGCCTTCCGTAGAGCTGTGGGAGCTGGAGCTGGAGCTGGCATTTCGTTTGAGGCAGGATCTGGTCCGGGAGGTCTGGGATCTCTGGTTATATCTCACTTCTGACCTCTGGGCACGTGCTGCAGCTGTGGCTGAGGCCAAGAAATGTGAGGGGCCTCCATCCACTGCATTGAGTAGTGACCCCGACGTGTTGTTCAATGTGGAGGGGGGAGGGGCTGCTGTGGCAGCTGCAGGAGCCGACCTTGTTCTTCTCATGCCGGCATCCCTGCTTGCAGCTGTGAAGGTGGCAGGAATCAGCGAGGTGACCTGTGCTGTGTCCCGGGAGTGGTAAGAGGTGGCAGGAAGGGGATCTGAGGAGGAGAACAGGGGTCCTGGTGGTCTGTGCTTCTTCCCAGACACGGGAGCTGTAGAGGGGACCTCTGCAGCAGATGCTAGGGGGGCCAGTAGGCCCAGGGAGTCTTGGGACTTGGGTCTGTCCTGCTGTGCATCCATAGTGGGTGCTTTAGAAACGGGAGGCCCACCCGAAGCCCCTGTTGCAAGTGAGGACAAAGTGTGGGAAGGCCGTGAGGGTCTGCAGTCCGAGATGGCCTTGTCCTCAACGTGCAGTGAAGTGTTGATGTGGGGCCTAGAGGCCTGGGATCTGGGGGAGCCACCCCTGGGGGCAAGTGTCTGCCCTGGTGCTGTACCTGCCTTGTTTTCACAGCGGTGACCCGAAGAGACAGCCTGAGGTCCGTCCTCACTCACTGTGTTTGAGGAACTGAGGGCCAGCTGGCAGTGGGATGAGGCTGGCCCCCTCCTCCGCTTTACTTCCTGGAGGCCTTCCGTAGAGCTGTGGGAGCTGGAGCTGGCATTTCGTTTGAGGCAGGATCTGGTCCGGGAGGTCTGGGATCTCTGGTTATATCTCACTTCTGACCTCTGGGCACGTGCTGCAGCTGTGGCTGAGGCCAAGAAATGTGAGGGGCCTCCATCCACTGCATTGAGTAGTGACCCCGACGTGGGGTTCAATGTGGAGGGGGGAGGGGCTGCTGCGGCAGCTGCAGGAGCCGACCTTGTTCTTCTCATGCCGGCATCCCTGCTTGCAGCTGTGAAGGGGGCAGGAATCATCGAGGTGACCTGGGCTGAGTCCCGGGAGTGGGAAGAGTTGGCAGGAAGGGGATCTGAGGAGGAGAACAGGGGTCCTGGTGGTCTGTGCTTCTTCCCAGACACGGGAGCTGTAGCGGGGACCTCTGCAGCAGATGCTAGGGGGGCCACTAGGCCCAGGCAGTCTTGGGACTTGGGTCTGTCCTGCTGTGCGTCCATAGTGGGTGCTTTAGAAACGGGAGGCCCACCCGAAGCCCCTGTTGCAAGTGAGGACAAAGTGTGGGAAGGCCGTGAGGGTCTGCAGTCCGGGATGGCCTTGTCCTCAACGTGCAGTGCACTGTTGATGCGCTGGAATGCCGTCTCTTTTTCCAGGTGCAGGTCTTCAGCCGTGACCCGGTACCCCAGCTCTAAGGGAGGTGGCAGCATCAAAGGCTCCCCTCGCCTGCGTGGCAGCAGGGGAATCTTGCGTCTACGGGGCCTAGAGTCCTGGGATCTGGGGGAGCCACCCGTTGGGGCGATTGTCTGCCCTGGTGCTGTATCTGCCCCCTTTTCACACCGTGTGTGACCCGAAGAGACAGCCTGAGGCCTGTCCTCACTCACTGTCTTTGAGTAACTGAGGGTCAGCTGGCAGCGGGATGAGGCTGGCCCCCTCCTCTGCTTTAGCCCCGGCAAGCCTCCCGTGGAGCTGTAGGAGCTGGAGATGGCATTTCGTTTGGTGCTCGAGCTCGTCCAGGATGTCTGGGATGTGTGGTTATATCTGATTTCTGAGCTCTGGGCGTGGAGGTCTGTCTGCAGAGGCCCGGGCCTGGGCACAAAGGGAGAGGGGCCTCCATTGTCCCGCAGGGGCCAAAATGCAGACCGTGCATCCCCGGTGACCTCGGGGACCGTTCTCTGATCATCAGGATTTTCTTGGACTCTGGGGTCCTTGTCCTGCTCAGGCATCCCTGCCCCGCTCTCCTTGAGGGCCCTCAACACTATCTTCCCTGGACACAAGTCTGGGGACAGCCGGGTGTTGTGGACCCCAAAGGGGTGACTACCTGCTCCTGGGCCCCACAGAGTCCTTGTGCTCAGTGTAGTGGCTGAGCTGGGGGATGCCCTGGAACTCGGAGCACACAGCACTGGCTTACTGTGGTACCTGTGCAGTGAAATTGAAGACAGAATCACCAGGATGGAACACAGGTCTTGCAGGATCACGGAAAACCTTCTTAGAGTTGTCTTGACACCAGTGATGTCGAGTGTGCGGGTGTTTGTAGGATGGCCTGCCACTCAGTCCAGGGGCAGGAGCAACGGGGAGATCCCACAAGCAAAGTGAACTGGGGGATGGGCTGAAGGGGCTCCAGGCAACTGAGCCCTACTCGCAGGTCCTCGGCCTTGGCCCAAACAGGAATGAGGGGCACAGAGTGCCCGGGTAACCGCTCCTGGGAGCAGTGGGGAACTGTCGGATACTTGAACTCTCAAGAGCTGGGCTCTGAGCGTCCTCGTCCAGCTGCCAACTTGGCCAAAGGCTAAGCCAGCAGATTGTTCTGTTGCCGGGCAACGCGACTTCTAAACCTGAGGGAGTGGGCATGTGAGCACATAATGGCACCAGTGACAGAGCGACCATAATGGATGAATAAGCGCAGCCAGGTACCCGCGCAAGGCACCTGCTGGCAATGGCAGGAGGCGGACGTGGGGGGTCGTGCAGTAGGTACTGGAGGGAGAGACGTGGGCACAAAGGTCGCGGGAGGAACAGGTGCCCACAATGGCTGCATATTTGCCCGTGGATCACTGAAGATTCCTGCTCTCCTGCTGAGGTGGAGACTGCAGTGAGCTGAGATCGCACCATTGCACTCCAGCCTGGGCAACGAGTGCAAAACTCAGTCTCCAGATAAAAAAAAGAAAAAGAAAAAAAAGAGGCCGGGTGTGGTGGCTTATGCCTATGATCCTAGCACTTTGGGAGGTCGGGGTGGACGGATCACGAGATCAGGAGTTGGAGGCCAGCCTGGCCAACATAGTGAAAGCCCGTCTCTAGTAAAAATACAAAATTTAGTCAGACATGGTGGGCAGGAGAGAGCATGTGCAGGGGAACATCCATTTATAAAACCATCAGACCTCATGAGACTTATTCACTACCATGAGAACAGCATGGGGGAAACTGCCTCCATGATTCAGTTATCTCCACCTGGCCCCACCCTTGACACATGGGAATTGTTACAATTCAAGATGAGATTTGGGTGCGGACAGAGCCAAACCATATAATTCTTCCCCGGCCCCTCCCAAATCTCATGTCCTCATATTTCAAAAGCAATCATGCCTTCCCCTAAGTCCCCCAAACTCTTATTTCAGCATTAACTCAAAATTCCATAGTCCAAAGTCTCATCTGAGACAAGGCAAGTCCCTTCCACCTATGAGCCTGTAAAATCAAAAGCAAGTTAGTTATTTTCTAGATACACAGGGATACAGGCATTGGGTAAATACACTCGTTTCAAATGGGAGAAATTGGCCAAAGCGAAAGAGCTACAGGCCCCATGCAAGTCCAAAACCCAGCAGGCAAATCTTAAAGCTCCAAAATGACCTCCTTTGACTCCATGTGTCACATCTAGGTGATGCAAGAAGTGGGTTCCCAGGGTCTTGGGCAGCCCCGCCCCTGTGGCTTTGCAGGGTACAGCCCCCCTTCTGGCTGCATTGAGTGTCTGCAGCTTTTCCAGGCACACAGTGCAAGCTGTCAGTGGATCTACCATTCTGGGGTCTGGAGGATGGTGGCCCTTTTCTCACAGCTCTGCTTGGCAGTACCCCAGTGGGGACTCTGTGTGGGAGCTCCAACCCCATATTTCCCTTTGACACTGCCCTAGCAGAGGTTATCCATGAGGGCCCCCCCCTCCCCTCCCCCCCACAGCAAACTTTTGCCTGGATTTCCAGGCATTTTCATACATCTTCTGAAATGTAGGCGGAGGTTCATGAACGTTAATTCTTGACTTTGGTGCATCTGCAGGCTTAACACCACCTAGAACCTGAAAGGCTTGGAACTTGCACCCTCTGAAGCCATGGCCTGAGGTGTACCTTGGCCCCTTTTACCTATGGCAGGAGCAGCTGGGATGCAGGGCCCCAAGTTCCTAGGCTGCACACAGCAGGGGGTTCTGGACCCACAAAACCATTTTTCCTTCTAAGCCTCCTGGCCTGTGATGGGAGGGTCTGCTGTGAGGGTCTCTAACATGCCCTGGAGACATTTGCCCCATTGTCTTGGTGATTAACATTTGGCTCCTCATTACTTATGCAAATTTCTACAACCCAGTCTCCTGAGAAAATAGATTTTTCTTTTCTGTTGCATCATCAGGCTACAAATTTTCTGAACTTTTATGCTCTGCTTCTTCTCGAATGCTTTGCTGCTTAGAAATTTCTTCTGTCAGATACCTTAAATCATCTCTCTCAAGTTCAAAGTTCCACAGATCTGTAGGGAACTCTAGAAAGAAATTCTTATTTTCCCTCTTTCCCGCCTATCTTATGCCCGTTTCTAATACAGGTGCACAATGCCTGCAGTGTCTTTGCATAGTAAGAGTGACTTTACTCCATTTCCCAACAAATTCCTCATCTCCCTCTGAGACCACCTCCGCCTGGACCTTGTTGTCCATATCACTATTAACATTTTGGTCAAAGCCATTCAACAAGTCTCTAGGAAGTTCCAAACTTTCCCACATTTTCCTATCCTCTTCTGAGCCTTCCAAACTGTTCCAGCCTCTCCCTGTTACCCATTTCCAAAGTTGCTTCCACATTTTCGGGTATCTTTACAGCAGCACCCCACTCTACTGGTATCAACTTATTGTATTAGTCTGTTCTCACACCGCAAATAAAGACATACCTGAGACTGGGTAATTTATAAAGGAAAGAGGTTGAATTGACTCACAGTTCTGCATGGCTGGGGAGGCCTCACAATCATGGTGGAAGGCAAGGAGGTGCAAAAGCATGTCTCACATAGTGGCAGGCAGGAGAGAGCATGTGCAGGGGAGCTCCCATTTATAAAACCATCAGATCTCATGAGACTTAGTCACTACCGCGAGAACAGTATGGGGGGAACCATCCCCATGATTCAGTTATCTGCACCCGGCCCCACCCTTGACACGTGGGAATTATTACAATGCAAGGTGAGATTTGGGTGGGGACCCATCCAAACTATGTCAGTATGTTTTGACTTCTTGCTTGATTGCTAGGTTGCATAGAGGACAAACATGGAAATTAATGAAGTACCTTAATATCTGGCTTCAGATCTTAGACAGGATCAGAGGGCCAGCTCAAATTTGCAAGGAGGGGAGGTAGATCCCACCATTTTATGGGTGAATGGCAAAATCAAACAGAAATTATGTGGGATGGGAGATACTGATGCAGCCATCTTTGGAAACATTCTACTTAGCTAATTTTATGCTAGGCTTTAGGTCAAGAAGGAGAGAGAGAGCTGACATGCTGTGGTACACACTTATAGTCCCAGCGACTTGGAAAGCTGAGGCAGGAGGATTGCTTGATCCCAGGAGTTTGAGGTAGTGTGCGATGATCGTTCTTGTGAATAGCCACTAGCCACTGAACTCCAGCTTGGGCAACATTGAGACACCCTGTCTCTTAATTTAAAAAAAAAAAAAAAAAAAGGAAAGAAAGTGGTCTCAGTTTTTAATGTAAGTATTTTTAATGGGATAATGATATTTTAAGATTAATGTATATTGTATATCAGTTAACTGTAGGTCAATAATTATATAAAACTTAAGGTATGAAAAACATTTATTTTTGCTAACATATCTGTGAGTTGACTGTTCTTGGCTTGGTGAGGCTGCAAGCTGCAGATAGAGTCTAGGTATGTTTTCTGTGTGTTTGTTCCCCCTTGGATCAGTGGACTACCTGAGAATGTGTTTTTGTCACAGTGATAGAATCACAAGGAAACTCCAGTTCTGGAAGTACATTTTAAGCCATTGCTTCTCTCATGTCCACTAACATTCAGTCAGCCAAAGCACATACCTTGTCCATGGCTAACATTGATAGTATAGATAAATATACCTGATCTCTAGCAGGAGGAACTGCATTGTCTTGGGGAAAGGTTTTAGATATAGGGAGGGGTGATGAGTTGGGAACAATAATGTAGTCTGCCACAAACATATTAAAGTGTAACTGGATATGGTTGCTGCAGAATTTTGAACCTTTGTTTTAATTGTGATTTTTACTCTTTTCCCCCTATCTAGTGCCCTTTTGTAATACAGTAATTATCATGATTTTTGTCTGAACTGAAATCTTCTGAGATTAGATTGTCTACGAAAATACAGTCGATCCTCCTTGTTTTCAGCTTTTGTATTTGTGAACTCACCTACTATTTTTTGTAACCCCCAAATCAGTACTCACAGCACTTTCATAGTCATGTGTTTGCGCAGAGTGTCAAAGAATTTGAGTTTGAACAGGATGATATTCTGCCTTCTTTTTCAGCTCTCATACAATAGTCAGGTATCCTTTTTGTGGTCTATTTAATGCCATGCTTTTCCTGTTTTTGTGCTGTTTGTTGGTTGTTTTGCCATTTAAATTAACCCCCAAGCATAGTGCTGAAGTGCTGCTTAGCATTCACAAGTCCAAGAAGTCTGTGATGTGTCTTACAGAGAAAATACATGCATTAAATAAACTCCATTCAGGCGTGAGTGCTGTAGTGCCGTTGGCTGTGAGTTCAATGTTAATGAATGAACAATGTATATTATTTATTTATTCTTCATTTAATTAATTATTATTATTATTTTTTTTGAGATAGAGTCTCACTCTGTTGCTCAGGCTGGAGTGCAGTGGTGCAGTCTTGGCTCACTGCAACCTCTGCCTCCTGGGTTCAAGCGATTCCCCTGCCTTAGCCTCCCAAGTAGCTAAGACTACAGGCATGCGCCACCATGCCTGGCTAATTTTTTTTTTTTTTTTTTTTTTTTTGTAGTTTTAGTAGAGACGGGGTTTCACCACGTTGGCCAGGCTGGTCTCGAACTCCAGACCTCAAATGATCTGCCCGCCTTGGCTTCGCAAAGTGCTGGGATTACAGGCGTTAGCCACTGTGCCTGGCCAACAATATATATTAAATAAGCACACATACAACAAAAGTAGGTGTTGGTAAGCTTACAAAAGTGTGACCAGTAGCTTGCTGAAACCTAACTTTTTATTTGTTCATGGAACTTTCTAGACCGTAACTACACTGAATAATGAGAATCTGCTGTAATCTTTTTAGGTGCTGTAGATGAGCCATTGGATTAAATTATTACAGTATGTTTCAGACTGCTGTATGTTGAACCCTAGTGAAATGCCTCTCAAACCTTCATAAGGATCACAATCTCATGTCCTTTTTTTTTTGTTATTAAATGCCCAGTATGTGTTAGCGATTTAAACAAAATTCAAATATTTTTTTTTTTTTTTGAGACAGAGTCTCGCTCTGTCACCTAAGCTGGAGAGTGCAGTGGTATGATCTCGGCTCACTACAACCTCTGCCTCCCGGGTTCAGGCGATTCTCCTGCCTCAGCATCCTGAGTAGCTGGGATTACAGGCACCCGCCACCACGCTGGGCTAATTTTTGTATTTTTAGTAGAGACGGGGTTTCGCCAGGTTGTCCAGGCTGGTCTGGAACTCCTGACCTCATGCGATCTGCCTGCCTTGGCCTCCTGAAGTGCTGGGATTATAGGCGTGAGCCACCATGCCCGGCGTTGACTTCTTAATAATAACCATACTGACTGGTGTGAGATGGTATGCCATTGTGGTTTTGATTTGCATTTCTCTAATGATCAGTGATATTGAGCTTTTTCTCATATGCTTGTTGGCCGCATGTGTGTCTTCTTTTGAAGTGTCTGTTTATGTCCTGTGCCCACTTTCTAATGAGATTTTTTTTTTTCTTGTAAATTTGTTTAAGTTCCTTATCAGTGTTGGACATTAGATCTTTGTCACATGCATTGTTGCAAAAATTTTCTCCCATTCTGTAGGTTGTCTGTTCACTCTGTTGATAGTTTCTTTTGCTGTGCAGAAGCTTCAAGAAGAAAGGAATCCGATTGGTTCTGTGTCTGTCTCTTTTGGTATTCTCAGAATTATGTAGTCATTCATATAGAAAGATGATTAGGAAAATAGGACAAGAATAGCAGAAATCTACATAAAAATGTAGGAAATTAAAATTAGTTACCAGCATACAAAAAACTTCTGTATGTTATAATTACATACTATAACTCACCCCTCCTTGGCAAATATTCTCTCTCTTTTGACTTCAAAATCATGGCTTATATGTACTTTCTCTATTTCCCAGATGCAAATATAATTAATTGACTTTATTTATCTAGGAAATATTACTCATATCTTAATTGTAGTCATTGGCTTGAGTGACGGGTTTTGGTAATTCAACTACTATTACTTGAAAGTAGTAGATTTCATAGGATACTGTTATAAAATCTTTTTAACCTCTTTTCTGATTTCAGGAGTAATTAGTAATTGTGGTTTACTGGAAAATTCAATGAATAGGGTGTTAAAGGAAGCAATTCATTAATAATATATCTAATCTATTGGGAGACTGAGGCGGGTGGATCACCTGAGTTCAGGAGTTCGAGACCAGCCTGGCCAACATGGCAAAACTCCGTCTCTACTGAAAATAGAAAAATTCGCCGGGCATGGTGGTGCATTCCTGTATTCCCAGGTACTCGGAAGGCTGAGGCAGGAGAATCACCTGAACTCCAGAGGTGGAGGTTGCAGCGAGTCAGGATCGCAGCACTACACTCCAGCCTGGGTGACAGTGAGACTCCATCTCAAAAAAAAAAAAAAAAAAAAAAAAAAAAAATTAAAAAATTAAATTAAAAGCGGGCTGGGCGCATTGGTTCAGGGCCGGGCACGGTGGCTCAAGCCTGTAATCCCAGCACTTTGGGAGGCCGAGGCAGGCGGATCACGAGGTCAGGAGATCAAGACCATCCTGGCTAATGTGGTGAAACCCCGTCTCTACTAACAATACAAAAATTAGCTGGATGTGGTGGCAGGTGCCTGTAATCCCAGCTATTCCAGAGGCTGAGGCAGGAGAATCACTTGAACCTGGGAGGCAGAGGTTTCAGTGAGTCCAGATCATGCCACTGCACTCCAGCCTGGGTGACAGAGCGAGATTCTATCTCAAAGAAAAAAAAAAAAAGCAACAGAAGCAAATGAGAGTGCCTGGGAGTGGTCATTGTGGGGCCTTCCCGTTTGTGTGACCCAGGTCATGTCCCTCCCTAAGCCCTGGTCTCTCTTGCCTCCTGCAGGGCTGGTGAATTACCAGATCTCCGTCAAGTGCAGTAACCAGTTCAAGTTGGAAGTGTGTCTTTTGAATGCAGAAAACAAAGTCGTGGACAACCAGGCTGGGACCCAGGGCCAGCTGAAGGTGCTGGGTGCCAACCTCTGGTGGCCGTACCTGATGCACGAACACCCCGCCTCCCTGTACTCGTGGGAGGTAATGGTGGTTTGGGACTTGCGTAAGGGAGGTCTTTTGCCCCCATCTGGTAGCCCTGGCTTCAGCAGGAGCCCAGGACAGGTGAACGGGCAGGTGTGGTCCTCTGAGCTTTCTGATGTTTCCCACCCTTGGTGGGAGGCCCAGATTTTTTATTTATTTATTTATTTATTTATTTATTTGTTTGTTTGTTTGTTTTTGTGATGGTCTCACTCTGTCACCCAGGCTGGAATGCAATGGCCTGATCACAGCTCACTGCAGCTTTGAGCTGCAATCCTCCTACCTTGGCCTCCTGAGTAGCTGGGACTACAGGCACATGCCACCATGCCTGGCTAATTAAAAAAATTTTTTTTGTAGGCCGGGCATGGTGGCTCACACCTGTAATCCCAGCACTTCGGGAGGCTGACGCGGGCAGATCACTTTAGGCCAGGAGTTGGAGACCAGCCTGGCCAACATGGTGAAACCCCGTCTCTACTAAAATATGAAAATTTGCAGGGCATGATGGTGCACGTCTGTAATCCCAGCTACTCGGGAGGCTGAGGCAGGGGAATTGCTTGAACCCAGGAGGCAGGGGCCGCGGTGAATTGAGATCATGCCGCAGCACTCTATCCTGGGTGACAGAGTGAGACTGTCTCAAAAAAAAAACTCCTTTTTATAGAGTTGGGGTCTTACTAGGTTGCCCAGGCTGGTCTTGAACTCCTGGACTCAGGTGATCCTCCTGCCTTAGCCTCCCAAGGTGTAGGGATTCCAGGCATGAGCCACCTCGTCTGGTCAAGGAGAAGGCCTGATTTTGAAGGGCAGGTCCCAGGGTCAGCCAGTGAAGGGCAGAGCCTCTGATTGCTGCTTCTCTGCAGGCCCAGTGGCGACTTCTGGGGTGCATGCACGAGGGGTCTTCCTGCTGTAGGGCAGGCCAGATGGGGCTCAGGCTGTCGGGGCGCTCACACCTGGCGCTTTGGCTGTCGTAGGTGCGGCTGACTGCACAGAAGTCACTGGGGCCTTTGACTTCTACACACTCCCTGTGGGGCTCCGCACTGTGCCCGTCACCGAGAGCCAGTGGGTGAGAGCCAGTTTCATTTGCGGTAGAGGCAGCAGAGGTTGTAGAAATGCTCCTTGAGGCAGATGCCACACCCCAATTTCATGGAGTGATTTGGGCTGAGCCGAGTCTGCAGCAGGCAGAAGGCTCTGAGATGTTGTCCTAGCCTGGGCAAAGGACAGTTCAGAGCTCGGGGGAATAGGGGTGTGCTCAGCACGACTGGGTGGACAGGCCGTTTGTTGTGAATCGTACAGGCTTCCAGGAGCGGGTGCCTGAGGCTTCCAGACAGGCTTTGGGAGGTGGCCAGAGGAGATGCCTGTTTCCGGGGCAGGAAATGGAGGGAGGGCCCAGGCTGGAGAGGTTCAGCCAGGCTGTCACAAGGCTTTGAAGCTTCCCATCTGAGAGCCTGGCTATTGGAGAGTGTGGGTTTGGAACTTGAGGCTAGGAGGTTCTATTCTGTCCTGTGCCAGCCACAGCCTTCGGATGGGCAGAGCAATGATGGGGGGAAGATGTAAAAGAAAAGAACTGAGGAAAGAAGAAGAAAACCAGCTTCAACAACGGTCTAGGCCGGATGCGGTGGGTCACGCCTGTAATCCCAGCAGTTTGGGAGGCTGAGGTGGGTGGATCACCCGAGGTCAGGAGTTCGAGACCAGCCTGGTCAACAGGTAGTGAATCCTGTCTCTACTAAAAATACAAAAATTAGCTGGGCATGGTGGTGGACGTCTGTAATCCCAGCTACCAGGTAGGCTGAGGCAGGAGAATCGCCTCAGGTGAACCAGGAGGCAGAGATTGCAATGAGCTGAGATAATGCCACTGCATTCCAGCCTGGGCTACAGAATGAGACTCTGTATCTCAACAAAACAAAACAAAACAAAAACACAACAGTCTGTTCTGTGGAGGCCTTGGGCAGATGCTGGGAGCTCTGAGCACGGACTGGTCCCTCTGTTGGGAGCCTCTTCCCTTCATCCCTCCTGGTTAACTTGACTCAGCATAAAGGCCATTTCTTCTAAGAGCCTGTCCCTGACTCTCCAATCGGGGATGTGTCTGTTGTCTCATAGAGTGCCCAATTCCTGCCACCACTTGTCATTTCCATTCGCAACATTTCTTTCATTGTTTGTTTTTCAGAGTCAGGGTCTCACTCTGTTGCCCAGGCTGGAGTGCAGTGGTGCAATCATAGCTCGTTGCCATCTCGACCTCCTGGGCTTAAGCGATCCTCCCCACTCAGCCTCCCAAATAGCTGGGACCACAGACGTGCGCTGCCTTGCCAGGCTAAATTTTAATATTTTTTTTTTCCCCACGAGTCAGAGTCTTGCTCTGTCTCCCAGGCTGGAGAGCAGTGTTGCGATCTTGGCTCACTGCATCCTCTACCTCCTGGGTACAAACAGTTCTCCTGCCTCACCCTCCCGAGTAGCTGGGATTACAGGCTCACGCCACCATGCCCAGCTAGTTTTCTTCTTTATTTTTTGTTGAGATGGGGTTTCACCATGTTGGCCAGGCTGGTCTCGAACTCTTGAGCTCGTGATCCACCTGCCTTGGCCTCCCAAAGTGCTCACAGGCTTGAGCCACCATGCCCGGCCCTAATTTTTAAATTTGTTGTAGAAACAAGGTCTTGCTATGTTGTCCAGGCTGGTCTCAAGCGCCTGGTCTCAAGTAAGCCTCCCAAAGTGCTGGGGTTCTAGGCGTGAGCCACCTCGCCTGGCACTTGCACCGTTTTTCTGTGCATGCATCTCCACTCCCACTGCCCAGGACCTGTGGACTTAGATTTGAGTCATTACTGAGCACCTAGCACCCAGCCTCATGCCTACCTCCCACCTCGCACTACCTGTTTGCTTGATGCATTAATAAATATTCCACCTGAATCCACAGCCCATTCACTCCTGTGTTCAAGAGCTATTTCAGGAAGTGAACCTCATTTCTGGCAGTGTTCAGTCCAGTGACCTCAGCTCTGTGTACCCGGCAGGGTGGCTACGCCTCTGGGGGAGTTGGATTCAGGGGTGGGGGAGAAAGAGTGTTGTTAGAGAGCTCGGTCTAGGACTAGAGGAACGTGCCCTTATGTAAAATACATCTCAAGTTAGGGAAGAAAGCAGCGGCTCTGTGCTTTGTTTTTTTTTTTTTTTTCCTTTTTTTTCTTTCTTTTTTTTTTTTTTGTTTGTTTGTTTGTTTGTTTGTTTTGGGGCAGGGTCTTGCTCTGTGGCCCAGGCTGGAGTGCAGTAGCGTGATTTCGGCTCACTGCAACCTCCACCTCCCGGGTTCAAGCAATTCTTGTGCCTCAGCCTCCCGAGTAGCTGGAGTTACAGATGCGTGCCACTATGCCTGGCTAATTTTTGTATATTTAGTAGAAATGGGGTTTTGCCATGTTGGCCAGGCGGTTCTTGAACCCCTGACCTCAGTGATCTGCCTGCCTCAGCCTCCTGAAGTGCTGGGATTACAGGCGTGAGCCATCGTGCCTGGCCCCCAGTTGTGTTCTGGCAGGGGAAGATGGGACAGAGAGGATGGGAGGGTGTCTGAGCCTTTCCCGGACTGACGGAACCTGTGTCTTCTCTCTTTTGTGGACAGGATGGTGATTGCTCACACCAAAGCCTTGGACCCCTCCCAGCCTGTGACCTTTGTGACCAACTCCACCTACGCAGCAGACAAGGGGGTGAGCCTGGGGGTCCCCACCCCATTTCTCCCTGCCTTTGCCTGGGCTTGTCCTGAAGCCTGCTCATGGGAACAGCTGGAAAGAACCATGTGCTGCCAGTCTGAGCTTTTTATTTTGTTTTACTTAGAAAGATAGAGACAGGGTCTTGCCATGTTGCCCAGGCTGGTCTCGAACTCCTGGGCTCAAGTGATCCTCCTGCCTCGGCCTTCCAAAGGGCTGGGGTTACAGGCGTGTGCCACCGCACTCAGCCGCAGCCAGTCTGTTTTCAAAGATGGTCTTTGGGTTAATGACAATTCTCTCTCTGCTTACTCTCCAGGCAGTGTGGCTTTCTGAATCCAAGGAGGCTGGGCATAGGGAGATGGGATTTGTTTGCCCGGTTTGGACTCAGCATTTTTTGTACTCGATTTAATAGACTCATAAAATGTCAAAGGTTTAAGTGAGCTTAGAGTTCATCTGGCCCAAACCTGGCTGATCAGAATCTCCAGGGGAAGTTTTATTGAAATGCCAGATCTCTGCGTTCTGAGATCCTGATTTAGTAACTCCAGGGTTGGAACTTGAGTTTTTTGTTTTTTTGTGTGTGTGTGTGAAGGCAAGGTCTTACTCTGTTGCTCTGGCTGGAGTGCAGTGGTGTGATCACAGCTCACTGCAGCCTTGAATTCCTGGGCCTAAGCAACCCTCTTGCCTCAGCCTTCCAAGTAGCTGGGACTCCGGGTGTACACCACTGTGCCCGGCTAATTTTAAATGTTTTTGTAGAGATGGGATCTCACTATGTTGCCCAGGCCAGTCTCAAACTCTTGAGCTCAAGTGATCCTCCTGCCTTAGCCTCCTAAAGTGCTGGGATTACAGGCATGAGCCACCGTGCCTGGCTGATACTAGCATTCTTTTTTATTTTTTATTATTTTTTTAAGATAGAGTCTTGCTCTGTTGCCCAGGCTGGAGTGCAGTGGCACAGTCTCAGCTCAGTGCAACCTCCGCCTCCCAGGTTCAAGCAATTCTCCTGCCTCAGCCTCCCAAGTAGCTGGGATAACAGGCACATGCCACCACGCCTGCGCTTGATCGTGGGAGGCAGAGGTTGCATTATTGTGCCACTCCATTCTAGCCTGGGCAACAGAGCGAGACTCTGTCTTCCAAACAAAGCGGAAAAAGATTATCTGCGAGAATGACTGCATTGGCCCCTTGGGTGGGAGGGCTTCTCCAGGGCAAGGTGAGGGGATGCCCAGTGCTGGGAGTGCTGCCTGGAGAGGAGTCAGTTCCAGTGGCGGGGGCCCTGGGTTTTGGCTGAGGACTGCGTGTTGGCAGCTGCTCTGCCTCTCACAGCCCTTCCCAGCTGCACACGTCGTGAGCGTCAGTGTGCAATCACAGGCCTGCCTCCTTTGGGCCACTTTGTGACCATGTTTTTTGCTTGTGGGGCAGGGTAATTTCAGGATCTAAATTGGTGCAGTTGGATGTTCTCAGCCCCGAGAGGCAGCTCTTCCCGTTGTAGGCTTTTTGTTTTGTTTTGTAGAAATGGAGTCCTACGATGTTGCCCAGGCTGGTCTCAAACTCCTGGGCTCAAGTGATCCTCCCACCTTGGCCTCCCAATGTGCTGGGATTACAGGCATGAGCCACTGTGCCGTGCTGATTTTCTTGATACTATTTTTTGTAGAGCTGGGGTCTTGCTGTGTTGCCCAGGCTGGTCTCGAACTCCTGGCCACAAGCCACCCTCCTGCCTCAGCCTCCCAGAGTGCTGGGATTACATCCCCTTCTTACCTTCTCTGTCAGAGGAGCCCCCACAGCATGTGAGTACTGAGTCATGCGGTCTTGTGGTTGCTGAACGGGCTCTGCTGCTCTGGTCCTAGGCTCTGTATGTGGATGTGATCCGTGTGAACAGCTACTACTCTTGGTATCGCAACTACGGGCACCTGGAGTTGATTCAGCTGCAGCTGGCCGCCCAGTTTGAGAATTGGTGTAAGACATCACAATCCCATTATTCAGAGCGCGTATGGAGTGGAAACGCTTGTAGGGTTTCACCAGGTAAGCGGTGTTGAACTTTCTGCTTGTGTATTCTCTCTGGGCAGAGATGCCACTTGCCTCCCCCACCATGCCATCTCTGAAGAATATTACAGACCATTTTGGAGCATGGTGAATAAGAAATTTTCACCTTAGGAGTTCACTTGAATAGTCATTTTTATATTTGTGACTGCAAGTCACTCTTAGGGGCTGTACTTCCTTAGTACTGGTAGCATTATTATCCAATGGACTTTTATAGCTTTCATTAGGTTTTCTTTTGTTTTTGTTCTTTAAAGAACGTTTTACTTATCTTAGTATTTCATTTTTCATCTATATTATGAGGCAGTAAGAGTCTTCTGTTTTTCCAAAGTTGAGACTGCTTTATATTTATTTCGTATTGTCTACAGCTGTAGTGTTCAATACATTAGCCACTAGCCACATGTGGTTATTTAAATAAGATAAAATAAAAATTGGCCGGGCGTGGTGGGTCACGCCAGTAATCCCAGCACTTTGGGAGGCCGAGGCGGGCAGATCATTAGGTCAGGAGATCGAGACCATCCTTACTAAGACGGTGAACCCCCATCTCTATTAAAAATACAAAAAATTAGCCGGGCGTGGTGGCGGGCGCCTGCAGTCCCAGCTACTCAGGAGGCTGAGGCAGGAGAATGGCGTGAACCTGGGAGGCAGAGTTTGCAGTGAGCCGAGATGGCACCACTGCACTCCAGCCTGGGGGACAGAGCGAGACTCCATCTCAAAAAAAAAAAGAAAATTAAAAATTAAGTTCTTTAGTTGCACTAGCCATATTTCAAATACTTGATGGATACATGTGGCTAGTGGCTAACATAAGGGATAGCACAGATATAAAACATTTCCTCGTCATATAAAGTTCTATTGGATAGTGCTGGTCTGTAGCTTATAGGATGGTATCTTAGTCTGCTTCAGCTGCTAAAACAGAATACCATAAATTAGGTAGCTTAAACAGTAGATATTTTGACCAGGCGTGGTGGCTTATGCCTGTATTCCTAACACTTTGGGAGGCCGAGGCAGGTGGATAACTTGAGCTCAGGAGTTTGAGACTAGCCTGGGCAGCATGGCAAAACCTTGTCTCTACGAAAATTAGCTGGGCGTGGTGGTGCACGCCTGTAGTCTGAGCTACTTGGGAGGCTGAGGTGGGAGAATTGCTTGAACCTGGGAGGCAGAGGTTGCAGTGAGCCATGATCGCACCACTGTACTCCAGCCTGGATGACAGAATGAGACTCTGTCTCAAAAAAAACAAAAACAAACAAACAAAAAAACAGATATTTCTCACAGTTCTGGAGACTGGAAGTGCAAGATCAAAGTGTTGGCAAATTGTGTTTCTTAAAGAGGGCCTGCTTCCTAGATTGGAAATGGCCATCTTCTCTCGGTATCCTCACATGGTAGGGAGAAAAGCAGCTCTAGTGTCTCTTCTTATAAAGGAAGTAATGCCACCATAGGGGCTCTATTCTCATGACCTCATCTAAACCTAATTCTCTCCTAAAGGCCACGCCTCCCAGTATCCTCACCTTGGGGGTTAGGGCTTTATCATATGAATTTTTTTTTTTTTTTTTTTTTTGAGACAGAGTCTCGCTCTGTCTGTCACCCAGGCTGGAGTGCAGTGGCACAATCTCGGCTCTCTACAAGCTCCGCCTCCTGGGTTCACGCCGTTCTCCTGCGTCAGCCTCCTCAGTAGCTGGGACTAAGGCGCCCGCCACTGCGCCCGGCTAATTTTTTGTATTTTCAGTAGAGACGGGGTTTTACCATGTTAGCCAGGATGATCTCGATCTCCTGACCTCATGATCCACCCGCCTCGGCCTCCCAAAGTGCTGGGATTACAGGCATGAGCCACCGCGCCCGGCCTATCATATGAATTTTGAGGGAACACAAACATGCAGTCTGTAGCAGATGGTAATAGGCTGACATATTACACTTGTTGATGTAAATCTGATAGGTTTCTTTCTCTCCAAGGACAGCTTTTTAAATATTTAACAGTATCAATAATTTTTCAGGTTCTGTGAGAATTTTATAATTTATAATTTGCAGACTTAACGTATAATCTATTTTGTCCTAACAATTACAAATATATTTTTTATTTCAGATTGTATATATTCCTACCAGATGGAGATGATTACAGCTTTAAAAATTTTTATTTTTTCATTTTATTTCACACATTGACATTAAATTTTTATGGACACATAATAACTGTACATATATATGGGGTAGAATGTGATGTTTTAATACATGTACTCAATGTGTAATGATCAAATCAGGGTAATTTGCATAATGATTTTTCTGTAGGGAGAAAATTCAAAATCTACTCTTCTGGCTATTTTCAAATATATAATATGTTATTGTTAACTATACTCTTCCTACTATGCAATAGGACACCAGAACTTATTCCTGGGTTCTACATCCGTTAAGGCAACCAAGGATTGGAAATATTGGAAAAAAAAATTGCGTCTGTACTGAACATGTACAGACTTTTTTCTTGTCCTTATTCCTTACACAATATAGTACAATAACTATTTGCATGACATTTACATCGGATATTATGAGTGATCTAGAGTTGATATGAAGTATATGGGAGGATGTGCAAAGGTGATGTGCAAATACTATGTCATTTTATATCAGGGACTTGAGTATCCTTTGTTACCCTCAGGAGATCCTGAAACCAGTCCCCCATGGATACTGAGGGCTGACTGTATAGTCCTATCCTCACGGAACTTTCATTCTAATGGGGGAAGACTGACTATAAACAAAATATATGTAATAGGTGGTGGTAAGTACCGTGGAGAAGTAACAAATGGGGCAAAGTGAGTTATACAGCTCCATTCTTAGAAACCTTGGAGTACTTTTCTTAGTTTATACTCGTGGTGGTTTCCTTTTGTCTCCTTTATTACATGGGACTCTGACATGTGCCCATAGCTAGGGTGACAGTAGGATCTACCCGATAGTAGGGTGGCAGTAGGATCTACCCAAAAAGCGTCCTGCTGATACAGGACCAAAGCATCCTGTTGTTCTCGAGCCTATAAAAAGAGCTAATGGTGTTGCTTCTCTTAACTGTGGCCTCCTACACTGTGTTTTGGATGATTGGTGATGTCTTGGATATTCTGTTTCTTTGGAACTTTGAATATACAACACTTTACTAGGGAATTAGCAATGGAAGCAGAGCAAAGATGTACAGAGGAAACAATGCGTAACTCTGATGGAATTGAAGTCATGAGGCAGCAGAGAGCTTAAATTACAGCTTTAAAAATTTTTATTTTTTAGAGGGAATTTACTTGGGAGTAACAGCAGTAATAGTTAACGGAGCCAGAATGCTTGAGTCATATAATTGCAAAGCAGAGTTGGGAGCAACAGATGCTAAAGAGTAGTTGCTGTAGTTCCTCTTTGGGTCGTAGGAGCAGTTGTCATATTACTATATAGCTACTGCATGAAGAAGAGTTCTTAGTGAGGCCTGGGTGAACAGCTCTTCTTAGTATTCTGTGTGACCCCATTTGACCTTTTAACAAATCCCTAAGTAAATAAATAGCCCCTCAGGAAAACTAAGTTTTTCTCTGCTGTTTTTTCGCTTGAGAGAGCTATAACTGTAATAGACTTATATTTCTGAACATTTTAGTGCTTGCCAATATTTGGTAATATTTATGTTTCCTATATTTGTAATGAACATTCTTCTTCCGGTACATTTTTTGTTAAATTATTGTTTGATGGATAAAAGTTCACCTTTTATTGTATAAAATTGACTGAGATTAATTTATACACATTGACAATGGGTAAATAGAATTTTTCAGATTATTAAAAGCTGAAGGATGCCCACGTAAGCAAAAAAAAAAAAGAAAAAACCAACAAAAATAAACCCAAACCCCTCAAACAATTTCGAACACGAAACATTCTTCTGATGCCGGCATCCCTGCTTGCAGGTGTGAAGGGGGCAGGAATCAGCGAGGTGTCCTGGGCTGAGTCCCCGGAGTGGGAAGAGGTGGCAGGAAGGGGATCTGAGGAGGAGAACAGGGGTCCTGGTGGTCTGTGCTTCTTCCCAGACACGGGAGCTGTAGAGGAGACCTCTGCAGCAGATGCTAGGGGGGCCAGTAGGCCCAGGCAGTCTTGGGACTTGGGTCTGTCCTGCTGTGCATCCATAGTGGGTGCTTTAGAAACGGGAGGCCCACCCGAAGCCCCTGTTGCAAGTGAGGACAAAGTGTGGGAAGGCCGTGAGGGTCTGCAGTCCGAGATGGCCTTGTCCTCAACGTGCAGTGCACTGTTGATGCGGGGCCTAGAGGCCTGGGATCTGGGGGAGCCACCCCTGGGGGCGAGTGTCTGCCCTGGTGCTGTACCTGCCTTGTTTTCACAGCGGTGACCCGAAGAGACAGCCTGAGGTCCGTCCTCACTCACTGTGTTTGAGGAACTGTGGGCCAGCTGGCAGTGGGATGAGGCTGGCCCCCTCCTCCGCTTTAGTTCCTGGAGGCCTTCCGTAGAGCTGTGGGAGCTGGAGCTGGCATTTCGTTTGAGGCAGGATCTGGTCCGGGAGGTCTGGGATCTCTGGTTATATCTCACTTCTGACCTCTGGGCACGTGCTGCAGCTGTGGCTGAGGCCAAGAAATGTGAGGGGCCTCCATCCACTGCATTGAGTAGCGACCCCGACGTGGGGTTCAATGTGGAGGGGGGAAGGGCTGCTGCGGCAGCTGCAGGAGCCGAGGTGCCAGGCCTTGTTCTTCTCATGCCGGCATCCCTGCTTGCAGCTGTGAAGGTGGCAGGAATCAGCGAGGTGACCTGGGCTGAGTCCCGGGAGTGGGAAGAGGTGGCAGGAAGGGGATCTGAGGAGGAGAACAGGGGTCCTGGTGGTCTGTGCTTCTTCCCAGACACGGGAGCTGTAGAGGGGACCTCTGCAGCAGATGCTAGGGGGGCCACTAGGCCCAGGCAGTCTTGGGACTTGGGTCTGTCCTGCTGTGCGTCCATAGTGGGTGCTTTAGAAACGGGAGGCCCACCCGAAGCCCCTGTTGCAAGTGAGGACAAAGTGTGGGAAGGCCGTGAGGGTCTGCAGTCCGAGATGGCCTTGTCCTCAACGTACAGTGCACTGTTGATGTGGGGCCTAGAGGCCTGGGATCTGGGGGAGCCTCCCCTGGGGGCGAGTGTCTGCCCTGGTGCTGTACCTGCCTTGTTTTCACAGCGGTGACCCGAAGAGACAGCCTGAGGTCCGTCCTCACTCACTGTGTTTGAGGAACTGTGGGCCAGCTGGCAGTGGGATGAGGCTGGCCCCCTCCTCCGCTTTAGTTCCTGGAGGCCTTCCGTAGAGCTGTGGGAGCTGGAGCTGGAGCTGGCATTTCGTTTGAGGCAGGATCTGGTCCGGGAGGTCTGGGATCTCTGGTTATATCTCACTTCTGACCTCTGGGCACGTGCTGCAGCTGTGGCTGAGGCCAAGAAATGTGAGGGGCCTCCATCCACTGCATTGAGTAGTGACCCCGACGTGTTGTTCAATGTGGAGGGGGGAGGGGCTGCTGTGGCAGCTGCAGGAGCCGACCTTGTTCTTCTCATGCCGGCATCCCTGCTTGCAGCTGTGAAGGTGGCAGGAATCAGCGAGGTGACCTGTGCTGTGTCCCGGGAGTGGTAAGAGGTGGCAGGAAGGGGATCTGAGGAGGAGAACAGGGGTCCTGGTGGTCTGTGCTTCTTCCCAGACACGGGAGCTGTAGAGGGGACCTCTGCAGCAGATGCTAGGGGGGCCAGTAGGCCCAGGGAGTCTTGGGACTTGGGTCTGTCCTGCTGTGCATCCATAGTGGGTGCTTTAGAAACGGGAGGCCCACCCGAAGCCCCTGTTGCAAGTGAGGACAAAGTGTGGGAAGGCCGTGAGGGTCTGCAGTCCGAGATGGCCTTGTCCTCAACGTGCAGTGCAGTGTTGATGTGGGGCCTAGAGGCCTGGGATCTGGGGGAGCCACCCCTGGGGGCAAGTGTCTGCCCTGGTGCTGTACCTGCCTTGTTTTCACAGCGGTGACCCGAAGAGACAGCCTGAGGTCCGTCCTCACTCACTGTGTTTGAGGAACTGAGGGCCAGCTGGCAGTGGGATGAGGCTGGCCCCCTCCTCCGCTTTACTTCCTGGAGGCCTTCCGTAGAGCTGTGGGAGCTGGAGCTGGCATTTCGTTTGAGGCACGATCTGGTCCGGGAGGTCTGGGATCTCTGGTTATATCTCACTTCTGACCTCTGGGCACGTGCTGCAGCTGTGGCTGAGGCCAAGAAATGTGAGGGGCCTCCATCCACTGCATTGAGTAGTGACCCCGACGTGGGGTTCAATGTGGAGGGGGGAGGGGCTGCTGCGGCAGCTGCAGGAGCCGACCTTGTTCTTCTCATGCCGGCATCCCTGCTTGCAGCTGTGAAGGGGGCAGGAATCATCGAGGTGACCTGGGCTGAGTCCCGGGAGTGGGAAGAGTTGGCAGGAAGGGGATCTGAGGAGGAGAACAGGGGTCCTGGTGGTCTGTGCTTCTTCCCAGACACGGGAGCTGTAGCGGGGACCTCTGCAGCAGATGCTAGGGGGGCCACTAGGCCCAGGCAGTCTTGGGACTTGGGTCTGTCCTGCTGTGCATCCATAGTGGGTGCTTTAGAAACGGGAGGCCCACCCGAAGCCCCTGTTGCAAGTGAGGACAAAGTGTGGGAAGGCCGTGAGGGTCTGCAGTCCGGGATGGCCTTGTCCTCAACGTGCAGTGCACTGTTGATGCGCTGGAATGCCGTCTCTTTTTCCAGGTGCAGGTCTTCAGCCGTGACCCGGTACCCCAGCTCTAAGGGAGGTGGCAGCATCAAAGGCTCCCCTCGCCTGCGTGGCAGCAGGGGAATCTTGCGTCTACGGGGCCTAGAGTCCTGGGATCTGGGGGAGCCACCCGTTGGGGCGATTGTCTGCCCTGGTGCTGTATCTGCCCCCTTTTCACACCGTGTGTGACCCGAAGAGACAGCCTGAGGCCTGTCCTCACTCACTGTCTTTGAGTAACTGAGGGTCAGCTGGCAGCGGGATGAGGCTGGCCCCCTCCTCTGCTTTAGCCCCGGCAAGCCTCCCGTGGAGCTGTAGGAGCTGGAGATGGCATTTCGTTTGGTGCTCGAGCTCGTCCAGGATGTCTGATTTCTGAGCTCTGGGCGTGGAGGTCTGTCTGCAGAGGCCCGGGCCTGGGCACAAAGGGAGAGGGGCCTCCATTGTCCCGCAGGGGCCAAAATGCAGACCGTGCATCCCCGGTGACCTCGGGGACCGTTCTCTGATCATCAGGATTTTCTTGGACTCTGGGGTCCTTGTCCTGCTCAGGCATCCCTGCCCCGCTCTCCTTGAGGGCCCTCAACACTATCTTCCCTGGACACAAGTCTGGGGACCGCCAGGTGTTGTGGACCCCAAAGGGGTGACTACCTGCTCCTGGGCCCCACAGAGTCCTTGTGCTCAGTGTAGTGGCTGAGCTGGGGGATGCCCTGGAACTCAGAGCACACAGCACTGGCTTACTGTGGTACCTGTGCAGTGAAATTGAAGACAGAATCACCAGGATGGAACACAGGTCTTGCAGGATCACGGAAAACCTTCTTAGAGTTGTCTTGACACCAGTGATGTCGAGTGTCCGGGTGTTTGTAGGATGGCTTGCCACTCAGTCCAGGGGCAGGAGCAACGGGGAGATCCCACAAGCAAAGTGAACTGGGGGATGGGCTGAAGGGGCTCCAGGCAACTGAGCCCTACTCGCAGGTCCTCGGCCTTGGCCCAAACAGGAATGAGGGGCACAGAGTGCCCGGGTAACCGCTCCTGGGAGCAGTGGGGAACTGTCGGATACTTGAACTCTCAAGAGCTGGGCTCTGAGCGTCCTCGTCCAGCTGCCAACTTGGCCAAAGGCTAAGCCAGCAGATTGTTCTGTTGCCGGGCAACGCGACTTCTAAACCTGAGGGAGTGGGCATGTGAGCACATAATGGCACCAGTGACAGAGCGACCATAATGGATGAATAAGCGCAGCCAGGTACCCGCGCAAGGCACCTGCTGGCAATGGCAGGAGGCGGACGTGGGGGGTCGTGCAGTAGGTACTGGAGGGAGAGACGTGGGCACAAAGGTCGCGGGAGGAACAGGTGCCCACAATGGCTGCATATTTGCCCGTGGATCACTGAAGATTCCTGCTCTCCTGCTGAGGTGGAGACTGCAGTGAGCTGAGATCGCACCATTGCACTCCAGCCTGGGCAACGAGTGCAAAACTCAGTCTCCAGATAAAAAAAAGAAAAAGAAAAAAAAGAGGCCGGGTGTGGTGGCTTATGCCTATGATCCTAGCACTTTGGGAGGTCGGGGTGGACGGATCACGAGATCAGGAGTTGGAGGCCAGCCTGGCCAACATAGTGAAAGCCCGTCTCTAGTAAAAATACAAAATTTAGTCAGACATGGTGGGCAGGAGAGAGCATGTGCAGGGGAACATCCATTTATAAAACCATCAGACCTCATGAGACTTATTCACTACCATGAGAACAGCATGGGGGAAACTGCCTCCATGATTCAGTTATCTCCACCTGGCCCCACCCTTGACACATGGGAATTGTTACAATTCAAGATGAGATTTGGGTGCGGACAGAGCCAAACCATATAATTCTTCCCCGGCCCCTCCCAAATCTCATGTCCTCATATTTCAAAAGCAATCATGCCTTCCCCTAAGTCCCCCAAACTCTTATTTCAGCATTAACTCAAAATTCCATAGTCCAAAGTCTCATCTGAGACAAGGCAAGTCCCTTCCACCTATGAGCCTGTAAAATCAAAAGCAAGTTAGTTATTTTCTAGATACACAGGGATACAGGCATTGGGTAAATACACTCGTTTCAAATGGGAGAAATTGGCCAAAGCGAAAGAGCTACAGGCCCCATGCAAGTCCAAAACCCAGCAGGCAAATCTTAAAGCTCCAAAATGACCTCCTTTGACTCCATGTGTCACATCTAGGTGATGCAAGAAGTGGGTTCCCAGGGTCTTGGGCAGCCCCGCCCCTGTGGCTTTGCAGGGTACAGCCCCCCTTCTGGCTGCATTGAGTGTCTGCAGCTTTTCCAGGCACACAGTGCAAGCTGTCAGTGGATCTACCATTCTGGGGTCTGGAGGATGGTGGCCCTTTTCTCACAGCTCTGCTTGGCAGTACCCCAGTGGGGACTCTGTGTGGGAGCTCCAACCCCATATTTCCCTTTGACACTGCCCTAGCAGAGGTTATCCATGAGGGCCCCCCCCTCCCCTCCCCCCCACAGCAAACTTTTGCCTGGATTTCCAGGCATTTTCATACATCTTCTGAAATGTAGGCGGAGGTTCATGAACGTTAATTCTTGACTTTGGTGCATCTGCAGGCTTAACACCACCTAGAACCTGAAAGGCTTGGAACTTGCACCCTCTGAAGCCATGGCCTGAGGTGTACCTTGGCCCCTTTTACCTATGGCAGGAGCAGCTGGGATGCAGGGCCCCAAGTTCCTAGGCTGCACACAGCAGGGGGTTCTGGACCCACAAAACCATTTTTCCTTCTAAGCCTCCTGGCCTGTGATGGGAGGGTCTGCTGTGAGGGTCTCTAACATGCCCTGGAGACATTTGCCCCATTGTCTTGGTGATTAACATTTGGCTCCTCATTACTTATGCAAATTTCTACAACCCAGTCTCCTGAGAAAATAGATTTTTCTTTTCTGTTGCATCATCAGGCTACAAATTTTCTGAACTTTTATGCTCTGCTTCTTCTCGAATGCTTTGCTGCTTAGAAATTTCTTCTGTCAGATACCTTAAATCATCTCTCTCAAGTTCAAAGTTCCACAGATCTGTAGGGAACTCTAGAAAGAAATTCTTATTTTCCCTCTTTCCCGCCTATCTTATGCCCGTTTCTAATACAGGTGCACAATGCCTGCAGTGTCTTTGCATAGTAAGAGTGACTTTACTCCATTTCCCAACAAATTCCTCATCTCCCTCTGAGACCACCTCCGCCTGGACCTTGTTGTCCATATCACTATTAACATTTTGGTCAAAGCCATTCAACAAGTCTCTAGGAAGTTCCAAACTTTCCCACATTTTCCTATCCTCTTCTGAGCCTTCCAAACTGTTCCAGCCTCTCCCTGTTACCCATTTCCAAAGTTGCTTCCACATTTTCGGGTATCTTTACAGCAGCACCCCACTCTACTGGTATCAACTTATTGTATTAGTCTGTTCTCACACCGCAAATAAAGACATACCTGAGACTGGGTAATTTATAAAGGAAAGAGGTTGAATTGACTCACAGTTCTGCATGGCTGGGGAGGCCTCACAATCATGGTGGAAGGCAAGGAGGTGCAAAAGCATGTCTCACATAGTGGCAGGCAGGAGAGAGCATGTGCAGGGGAGCTCCCATTTATAAAACCATCAGATCTCATGAGACTTAGTCACTACCGCGAGAACAGTATGGGGGGAACCATCCCCATGATTCAGTTATCTGCACCCGGCCCCACCCTTGACACGTGGGAATTATTACAATGCAAGGTGAGATTTGGGTGGGGACCCATCCAAACTATGTCAGTATGTTTTGACTTCTTGCTTGATTGCTAGGTTGCATAGAGGACAAACATGGAAATTAATGAAGTACCTTAATATCTGGCTTCAGATCTTAGACAGGATCAGAGGGCCAGCTCAAATTTGCAAGGAGGGGAGGTAGATCCCACCATTTTATGGGTGAATGGCAAAATCAAACAGAAATTATGTGGGATGGGAGATACTGATGCAGGCATCTTTGGAAACATTCTACTTAGCTAATTTTATGCTAGGCTTTAGGTCAAGAAGGAGAGAGAGAGCTGACATGCTGTGGTACACACTTATAGTCCCAGCGACTTGGAAAGCTGAGGCAGGAGGATTGCTTGATCCCAGGAGTTTGAGGTAGTGTGCGATGATCGTTCTTGTGAATAGCCACTAGCCACTGAACTCCAGCTTGGGCAACATTGAGACACCCTGTCTCTTAATTTAAAAAAAAAAAAAAAAAAAGGAAAGAAAGTGGTCTCAGTTTTTAATGTAAGTATTTTTAATGGGATAATGATATTTTAAGATTAATGTATATTGTATATCAGTTAACTGTAGGTCAATAATTATATAAAACTTAAGGTATGAAAAACATTTATTTTTGCTAACATATCTGTGAGTTGACTGTTCTTGGCTTGGTGAGGCTGCAAGCTGCAGATAGAGTCTAGGTATGTTTTCTGTGTGTTTGTTCCCCCTTGGATCAGTGGACTACCTGAGAATGTGTTTTTGTCACAGTGATAGAATCACAAGGAAACTCCAGTTCTGGAAGTACATTTTAAGCCATTGCTTCTCTCATGTCCACTAACATTCAGTCAGCCAAAGCACATACCTTGTCCATGGCTAACATTGATAGTATAGATAAATATACCTGATCTCTAGCAGGAGGAACTGCATTGTCTTGGGGAAAGGTTTTAGATATAGGGAGGGGTGATGAGTTGGGAACAATAATGTAGTCTGCCACAAACATATTAAAGTGTAACTGGATATGGTTGCTGCAGAATTTTGAACCTTTGTTTTAATTGTGATTTTTACTCTTTTCCCCCTATCTAGTGCCCTTTTGTAATACAGTAATTATCATGATTTTTGTCTGAACTGAAATCTTCTGAGATTAGATTGTCTACGAAAATACAGTCGATCCTCCTTGTTTTCAGCTTTTGTATTTGTGAACTCACCTACTATTTTTTGTAACCCCCAAATCAGTACTCACAGCACTTTCATAGTCATGTGTTTGCGCAGAGTGTCAAAGAATTTGAGTTTGAACAGGATGATATTCTGCCTTCTTTTTCAGCTCTCATACAATAGTCAGGTATCCTTTTTGTGGTCTATTTAATGCCATGCTTTTCCTGTTTTTGTGCTGTTTGTTGGTTGTTTTGCCATTTAAATTAACCCCCAAGCATAGTGCTGAAGTGCTGCTTAGCATTCACAAGTCCAAGAAGTCTGTGATGTGTCTTACAGAGAAAATACATGCATTAAATAAACTCCATTCAGGCGTGAGTGCTGTAGTGCCGTTGGCTGTGAGTTCAATGTTAATGAATGAACAATGTATATTATTTATTTATTCTTCATTTAATTAATTATTATTATTATTTTTTTTGAGATAGAGTCTCACTCTGTTGCTCAGGCTGGAGTGCAGTGGTGCAGTCTTGGCTCACTGCAACCTCTGCCTCCTGGGTTCAAGCGATTCCCCTGCCTTAGCCTCCCAAGTAGCTAAGACTACAGGCATGCGCCACCATGCCTGGCTAATTTTTTTTTTTTTTTTTTTTTTTTTGTAGTTTTAGTAGAGACGGGGTTTCACCACGTTGGCCAGGCTGGTCTCGAACTCCAGACCTCAAATGATCTGCCCGCCTTGGCTTCCCAAAGTGCTGGGATTACAGGCGTTAGCCACTGTGCCTGGCCAACAATATATATTAAATAAGCACACATACAACAAAAGTAGGTGTTGGTAAGCTTACAAAAGTGTGACCAGTAGCTTGCTGAAACCTAACTTTTTATTTGTTCATGGAACTTTGTAGATCGTAACTACACTGAATAATGAGAATCTGCTGTAATCTTTTTAGGTGCTGTAGATGAGCCATTGGATTAAATTATTACAGTATGTTTCAGACTGCTGTATGTTGAACCCTAGTGAAATGCCTCTCAAACCTTCATAAGGATCACAATCTCATGTCCTTTTTTTTTTGTTATTAAATGCCCAGTATGTGTTAGCGATTTAAACAAAATTCAAATATTTTTTTTTTTTTTTGAGACAGAGTCTCGCTCTGTCACCTAAGCTGGAGAGTGCAGTGGTATGATCTCGGCTCACTACAACCTCTGCCTCCCGGGTTCAGGCGATTCTCCTGCCTCAGCATCCTGAGTAGCTGGGATTACAGGCACCCGCCACCACGCTGGGCTAATTTTTGTATTTTTAGTAGAGACGGGGTTTCGCCAGGTTGTCCAGGCTGGTCTGGAACTCCTGACCTCATGCGATCTGCCTGCCTTGGCCTCCTGAAGTGCTGGGATTATAGGCGTGAGCCACCATGCCCAGCGTTGACTTCTTAATAATAACCATACTGACTGGTGTGAGATGGTATGCCATTGTGGTTTTGATTTGCATTTCTCTAATGATCAGTGATATTGAGCTTTTTCTCATATGCTTGTTGGCCGCATGTGTGTCTTCTTTTGAAGTGTCTGTTTATGTCCTGTGCCCACTTTCTAATGAGATTTTTTTTTTCTTGTAAATTTGTTTAAGTTCCTTATCAGTGTTGGACATTAGATCTTTGTCACATGCATTGTTGCAAAAATTTTCTCCCATTCTGTAGGTTGTCTGTTCACTCTGTTGATAGTTTCTTTTGCTGTGCAGAAGCTTCAAGAAGAAAGGAATCCGATTGGTTCTGTGTCTGTCTCTTTTGGTATTCTCAGAATTATGTAGTCATTCATATAGAAAGATGATTAGGAAAATAGGACAAGAATAGCAGAAATCTACATAAAAATGTAGGAAATTAAAATTAGTTACCAGCATACAAAAAACTTCTGTATGTTATAATTACATACTATAACTCACCCCTCCTTGGCAAATATTCTCTCTCTTTTGACTTCAAAATCATGGCTTATATGTACTTTCTCTATTTCCCAGATGCAAATATAATTAATTGACTTTATTTATCTAGGAAATGTTACTCATATCTTAATTGTAGTCATTGGCTTGAGTGACGGGTTTTGGTAATTCAACTACTATTACTTGAAAGTAGTAGATTTCATAGGATACTGTTATAAAATCTTTTTAACCTCTTTTCTGATTTCAGGAGTAATTAGTAATTGTGGTTTACTGGAAAATTCAATGAATAGGGTGTTAAAGGAAGCAATTCATTAATAATATATCTAATCTATTGGGAGACTGAGGCGGGTGGATCACCTGAGTTCAGGAGTTCGAGACCAGCCTGGCCAACATGGCAAAACTCCGTCTCTACTGAAAATAGAAAAATTCGCCGGGCATGGTGGTGCATTCCTGTATTCCCAGGTACTCGGAAGGCTGAGGCAGGAGAATCACCTGAACTCCAGAGGTGGAGGTTGCAGCGAGTCAGGATCGCAGCACTACACTCCAGCCTGGGTGACAGTGAGACTCCATCTCAAAAAAAAAAAAAAAAAAAAAAAAAAAAAATTAAAAAATTAAATTAAAAGCGGGCTGGGCGCATTGGTTCAGGGCCGGGCACGGTGGCTCAAGCCTGTAATCCCAGCACTTTGGGAGGCCGAGGCAGGCGGATCACGAGGTCAGGAGATCAAGACCATCCTGGCTAATGTGGTGAAACCCCGTCTCTACTAACAATACAAAAATTAGCTGGATGTGGTGGCAGGTGCCTGTAATCCCAGCTATTCCAGAGGCTGAGGCAGGAGAATCACTTGAACCTGGGAGGCAGAGGTTTCAGTGAGTCCAGATCATGCCACTGCACTCCAGCCTGGGTGACAGAGCGAGATTCTATCTCAAAGAAAAAAAAAAAAAGCAACAGAAGCAAATGAGAGTGCCTGGGAGTGGTCATTGTGGGGCCTTCCCGTTTGTGTGACCCAGGTCATGTCCCTCCCTAAGCCCTGGTCTCTCTTGCCTCCTGCAGGGCTGGTGAATTACCAGATCTCCGTCAAGTGCAGTAACCAGTTCAAGTTGGAAGTGTGTCTTTTGAATGCAGAAAACAAAGTCGTGGACAACCAGGCTGGGACCCAGGGCCAGCTGAAGGTGCTGGGTGCCAACCTCTGGTGGCCGTACCTGATGCACGAACACCCCGCCTACCTGTACTCGTGGGAGGTAATGGTGGTTTGGGACTTGCGTAAGGGAGGTCTTTTGCCCCCATCTGGTAGCCCTGGCTTCAGCAGGAGCCCAGGACAGGTGAACGGGCAGGTGTGGTCCTCTGAGCTTTCTGATGTTTCCCACCCTTGGTGGGAGGCCCAGATTTTTTATTTATTTATTTATTTATTTATTTATTTGTTTGTTTGTTTGTTTTTGTGATGGTCTCACTCTGTCACCCAGGCTGGAATGCAATGGCCTGATCACAGCTCACTGCAGCTTTGAGCTGCAATCCTCCTACCTTGGCCTCCTGAGTAGCTGGGACTACAGGCACATGCCACCATGCCTGGCTAATTAAAAAAATTTTTTTTGTAGGCCGGGCATGGTGGCTCACACCTGTAATCCCAGCACTTCGGGAGGCTGACGCGGGCAGATCACTTTAGGCCAGGAGTTGGAGACCAGCCTGGCCAACATGGTGAAACCCCGTCTCTACTAAAATATGAAAATTTGCAGGGCATGATGGTGCACGTCTGTAATCCCAGCTACTCGGGAGGCTGAGGCAGGGGAATTGCTTGAACCCAGGAGGCAGGGGCCGCGGTGAATTGAGATCATGCCGCAGCACTCTATCCTGGGTGACAGAGTGAGACTGTCTCAAAAAAAAAACTCCTTTTTATAGAGTTGGGGTCTTACTAGGTTGCCCAGGCTGGTCTTGAACTCCTGGACTCAGGTGATCCTCCTGCCTTAGCCTCCCAAGGTGTAGGGATTCCAGGCATGAGCCACCTCGTCTGGTCAAGGAGAAGGCCTGATTTTGAAGGGCAGGTCCCAGGGTCAGCCAGTGAAGGGCAGAGCCTCTGATTGCTGCTTCTCTGCAGGCCCAGTGGCGACTTCTGGGGTGCATGCACGAGGGGTCTTCCTGCTGTAGGGCAGGCCAGATGGGGCTCAGGCTGTCGGGGCGCTCACACCTGGCGCTTTGGCTGTCGTAGGTGCGGCTGACTGCACAGAAGTCACTGGGGCCTTTGACTTCTACACACTCCCTGTGGGGCTCCGCACTGTGCCCGTCACCGAGAGCCAGTGGGTGAGAGCCAGTTTCATTTGCGGTAGAGGCAGCAGAGGTTGTAGAAATGCTCCTTGAGGCAGATGCCACACCCCAATTTCATGGAGTGATTTGGGCTGAGCCGAGTCTGCAGCAGGCAGAAGGCTCTGAGATGTTGTCCTAGCCTGGGCAAAGGACAGTTCAGAGCTCGGGGGAATAGGGGTGTGCTCAGCACGACTGGGTGGACAGGCCGTTTGTTGTGAATCGTACAGGCTTCCAGGAGCGGGTGCCTGAGGCTTCCAGACAGGCTTTGGGAGGTGGCCAGAGGAGATGCCTGTTTCCGGGGCAGGAAATGGAGGGAGGGCCCAGGCTGGAGAGGTTCAGCCAGGCTGTCACAAGGCTTTGAAGCTTCCCATCTGAGAGCCTGGCTATTGGAGAGTGTGGGTTTGGAACTTGAGGCTAGGAGGTTCTATTCTGTCCTGTGCCAGCCACAGCCTTCGGATGGGCAGAGCAATGATGGGGGGAAGATGTAAAAGAAAAGAACTGAGGAAAGAAGAAGAAAACCAGCTTCAACAACGGTCTAGGCCGGATGCGGTGGGTCACGCCTGTAATCCCAGCAGTTTGGGAGGCTGAGGTGGGTGGATCACCCGAGGTCAGGAGTTCGAGACCAGCCTGGTCAACAGGTAGTGAATCCTGTCTCTACTAAAAATACAAAAATTAGCTGGGCATGGTGGTGGACGTCTGTAATCCCAGCTACCAGGTAGGCTGAGGCAGGAGAATCGCCTCAGGTGAACCAGGAGGCAGAGATTGCAATGAGCTGAGATAATGCCACTGCATTCCAGCCTGGGCTACAGAATGAGACTCTGTATCTCAACAAAACAAAACAAAACAAAAACACAACAGTCTGTTCTGTGGAGGCCTTGGGCAGATGCTGGGAGCTCTGAGCACGGACTGGTCCCTCTGTTGGGAGCCTCTTCCCTTCATCCCTCCTGGTTAACTTGACTCAGCATAAAGGCCATTTCTTCTAAGAGCCTGTCCCTGACTCTCCAATCGGGGATGTGTCTGTTGTCTCATAGAGTGCCCAATTCCTGCCACCACTTGTCATTTCCATTCGCAACATTTCTTTCATTGTTTGTTTTTCAGAGTCAGGGTCTCACTCTGTTGCCCAGGCTGGAGTGCAGTGGTGCAATCATAGCTCGTTGCCATCTCGACCTCCTGGGCTTAAGCGATCCTCCCCACTCAGCCTCCCAAATAGCTGGGACCACAGACGTGCGCTGCCTTGCCAGGCTAAATTTTAATATTTTTTTTTTCCCCACGAGTCAGAGTCTTGCTCTGTCTCCCAGGCTGGAGAGCAGTGTTGCGATCTTGGCTCACTGCATCCTCTACCTCCTGGGTACAAACAGTTCTCCTGCCTCACCCTCCCGAGTAGCTGGGATTACAGGCTCACGCCACCATGCCCAGCTAGTTTTCTTCTTTATTTTTTGTTGAGATGGGGTTTCACCATGTTGGCCAGGCTGGTCTCGAACTCTTGAGCTCGTGATCCACCTGCCTTGGCCTCCCAAAGTGCTCACAGGCTTGAGCCACCATGCCCGGCCCTAATTTTTAAATTTGTTGTAGAAACAAGGTCTTGCTATGTTGTCCAGGCTGGTCTCAAGCGCCTGGTCTCAAGTAAGCCTCCCAAAGTGCTGGGGTTCTAGGCGTGAGCCACCTCGCCTGGCACTTGCACCGTTTTTCTGTGCATGCATCTCCACTCCCACTGCCCAGGACCTGTGGACTTAGATTTGAGTCATTACTGAGCACCTAGCACCCAGCCTCATGCCTACCTCCCACCTCGCACTACCTGTTTGCTTGATGCATTAATAAATATTCCACCTGAATCCACAGCCCATTCACTCCTGTGTTCAAGAGCTATTTCAGGAAGTGAACCTCATTTCTGGCAGTGTTCAGTCCAGTGACCTCAGCTCTGTGTACCCGGCAGGGTGGCTACGCCTCTGGGGGAGTTGGATTCAGGGGTGGGGGAGAAAGAGTGTTGTTAGAGAGCTCGGTCTAGGACTAGAGGAACGTGCCCTTATGTAAAATACATCTCAAGTTAGGGAAGAAAGCAGCGGCTCTGTGCTTTGTTTTTTTTTTTTTTTCCTTTTTTTTCTTTCTTTTTTTTTTTTTTGTTTGTTTGTTTGTTTGTTTGTTTTGGGGCAGGGTCTTGCTCTGTGGCCCAGGCTGGAGTGCAGTAGCGTGATTTCGGCTCACTGCAACCTCCACCTCCCGGGTTCAAGCAATTCTTGTGCCTCAGCCTCCCGAGTAGCTGGAGTTACAGATGCGTGCCACTATGCCTGGCTAATTTTTGTATATTTAGTAGAAATGGGGTTTTGCCATGTTGGCCAGGCGGTTCTTGAACCCCTGACCTCAGTGATCTGCCTGCCTCAGCCTCCTGAAGTGCTGGGATTACAGGCGTGAGCCATCGTGCCTGGCCCCCAGTTGTGTTCTGGCAGGGGAAGATGGGACAGAGAGGATGGGAGGGTGTCTGAGCCTTTCCCGGACTGACGGAACCTGTGTCTTCTCTCTTTTGTGGACAGGATGGTGATTGCTCACACCAAAGCCTTGGACCCCTCCCAGCCTGTGACCTTTGTGACCAACTCCACCTACGCAGCAGACAAGGGGGTGAGCCTGGGGGTCCCCACCCCATTTCTCCCTGCCTTTGCCTGGGCTTGTCCTGAAGCCTGCTCATGGGAACAGCTGGAAAGAACCATGTGCTGCCAGTCTGAGCTTTTTATTTTGTTTTACTTAGAAAGATAGAGACAGGGTCTTGCCATGTTGCCCAGGCTGGTCTCGAACTCCTGGGCTCAAGTGATCCTCCTGCCTCGGCCTTCCAAAGGGCTGGGGTTACAGGCGTGTGCCACCGCACTCAGCCGCAGCCAGTCTGTTTTCAAAGATGGTCTTTGGGTTAATGACAATTCTCTCTCTGCTTACTCTCCAGGCAGTGTGGCTTTCTGAATCCAAGGAGGCTGGGCATAGGGAGATGGGATTTGTTTGCCCGGTTTGGACTCAGCATTTTTTGTACTCGATTTAATAGACTCATAAAATGTCAAAGGTTTAAGTGAGCTTAGAGTTCATCTGGCCCAAACCTGGCTGATCAGAATCTCCAGGGGAAGTTTTATTGAAATGCCAGATCTCTGCGTTCTGAGATCCTGATTTAGTAACTCCAGGGTTGGAACCTGAGTTTTATGTTTTTTTGTGTGTGTGTGTGAAGGCAAGGTCTTACTCTGTTGCTCTGGCTGGAGTGCAGTGGTGTGATCACAGCTCACTGCAGCCTTGAATTCCTGGGCCTAAGCAACCCTCTTGCCTCAGCCTTCCAAGTAGCTGGGACTCCGGGTGTACACCACTGTGCCCGGCTAATTTTAAATGTTTTTGTAGAGATGGGATCTCACTATGTTGCCCAGGCCAGTCTCAAACTCTTGAGCTCAAGTGATCCTCCTGCCTTAGCCTCCTAAAGTGCTGGGATTACAGGCATGAGCCACCGTGCCTGGCTGATACTAGCATTCTTTTTTATTTTTTATTATTTTTTTAAGATAGAGTCTTGCTCTGTTGCCCAGGCTGGAGTGCAGTGGCACAGTCTCAGCTCAGTGCAACCTCCGCCTCCCAGGTTCAAGCAATTCTCCTGCCTCAGCCTCCCAAGTAGCTGGGATAACAGGCACATGCCACCACGCCTGCGCTTGATCGTGGGAGGCAGAGGTTGCATTATTGTGCCACTCCATTCTAGCCTGGGCAACAGAGCGAGACTCTGTCTTCCAAACAAAGCGGAAAAAGATTATCTGCGAGAATGACTGCATTGGCCCCTTGGGTGGGAGGGCTTCTCCAGGGCAAGGTGAGGGGATGCCCAGTGCTGGGAGTGCTGCCTGGAGAGGAGTCAGTTCCAGTGGCGGGGGCCCTGGGTTTTGGCTGAGGACTGCGTGTTGGCAGCTGCTCTGCCTCTCACAGCCCTTCCCAGCTGCACACGTCGTGAGCGTCAGTGTGCAATCACAGGCCTGCCTCCTTTGGGCCACTTTGTGACCATGTTTTTTGCTTGTGGGGCAGGGTAATTTCAGGATCTAAATTGGTGCAGT
Organism: Homo sapiens; assembly: GCF_000001405.40. Lineage (NCBI taxonomy): Eukaryota > Metazoa > Chordata > Mammalia > Primates > Hominidae > Homo > Homo sapiens. The sequence goes on from NW_025791777.1 coordinate 1,302,024, forward strand.
TGGATGTTCTCAGCCCCGAGAGGCAGCTCTTCCCGTTGTAGGCTTTTTGTTTTGTTTTGTAGAAATGGAGTCCTACGATGTTGCCCAGGCTGGTCTCAAACTCCTGGGCTCAAGTGATCCTCCCACCTTGGCCTCCCAATGTGCTGGGATTACAGGCATGAGCCACTGTGCCGTGCTGATTTTCTTGATACTATTTTTTGTAGAGCTGGGGTCTTGCTGTGTTGCCCAGGCTGGTCTCGAACTCCTGGCCACAAGCCACCCTCCTGCCTCAGCCTCCCAGAGTGCTGGGATTACATCCCCTTCTTACCTTCTCTGTCAGAGGAGCCCCCACAGCATGTGAGTACTGAGTCATGCGGTCTTGTGGTTGCTGAACGGGCTCTGCTGCTCTGGTCCTAGGCTCTGTATGTGGATGTGATCCGTGTGAACAGCTACTACTCTTGGTATCGCAACTACGGGCACCTGGAGTTGATTCAGCTGCAGCTGGCCGCCCAGTTTGAGAATTGGTGTAAGACATCACAATCCCATTATTCAGAGCGCGTATGGAGTGGAAACGCTTGTAAGGCTTCACCAGGTAAGCGGTGTTGAACTTTCTGCTTGTGTATTCTCTCTGGGCAGAGATGCCACTTGCCTCCCCCACCCTGCCCTGCGCCCACTGCAGTGCTCCCCTTGCTTCAGCTTTGGGCTCACCTCCCGCTACCCTGTCCACGTTCCCTTCTCACCAGCAGCCAGGCCTCTGCCCCACTCGCTTGGTCCTCAAAGGTGGACTCCTTACTGGCCTTGTTTCCAGACAGCCTCCTATCACCCGTGCCCAAGTGGTCTTTCTAAGAAATCCAAATTTTTATGTGTTTTTGAGACCGCCTCTCTCTCTGTCACCCAAGCTGGAGTGCGGTGGTGCGATCACTGCTCCCTGCAGCCTTAACCTCCTGGGCCCAAGCGATCTTCCCACCTCAGCCTCCTGAGTATCTGGGACCATAGGCACAGGCCACCATGCCTGGCTAATTTTTTTACTTTTGTAGAGATGGGGCCTTGTTGTGTTCCCCGGGCTGGTCTTGAATTCCTGGGATCAAGTGACCCTCCTGCCTCAGGCTCACAAAGCGCTGGGATTTACAGGTGTGAGCCACTGTGCCCGGCCACAAATCAAAATTTTTGAGTCCTGTCATTGGCTCCCCCAGGCCCATAGGACAAAGTCCTAACCCCTAGTCAGGACACTCAGTGTCCTCTGCTCTCTCCTGGGTTTTCATCCTCTTCTCTTCTCACTCCTGGCCACTGATCTGTTTCCACTGCCCTCATTTGCTCTCCTGCTCTTGCTTGAGCTATTCTTTCTGCCTGGAATGCCCAAGTTGGCACCATAATCACCAACTAAAAGATCCTTTTCTTTTTATTTTTTTAGAGATAGGGTCTTGCTATGTTGCCCAGGCTGGTCTCAAACTCCTGGACTCAATTGATCTTTTTGCCTTGGCCTCCCAAAGTTCTGGGATTAACAGGTGTGATCCACTGTGCTAGCCTTTTTTTATTTTTTATTTTTTTCCTGACAGGGTCTTGTTCTGTTGCCCAGGCTGGAGTGTGGTGGTGTCATCATAGCTCACTGCAGCCTCGAACTCCTGGGCTGAAGCAATTCTCCTGCCTCAGCCTCCTGAGTAGCTGGGACTACAGGCGTGCACCACCATGTGCAGCCTAGTTTTAAAATATTTTGTAGAGATGAGTCTCGCTATCAGGCTGGTCTTCACCTCCTGTCTTGGACTCCCAAAGTACTGGGAATACAGGCATGAGTCACGACACGTGGCTGAAAAGATTCCTATTTGGCATCTGAGTCTCCTCATAGCTGTCCCCTCTGTGGGGAGGTTTACCCTGCCTGCCCCAGGCGGAGGGAACCTTCCCCGTGCTCTGCCCTGTTGCAGCCGGAACCTGGCTCCCCCAACATTCTCGCCAGGCACCGTTGTTATTTCTTTGGCTCTCTCTTTGATCGGACTGTGGGCTCAGGAGACAGGAGTCCTATTTATTGTTGTTTCCCAGGTACTCTGCAATAGCTGACACAGTACATGCTAAATAATACCTATTGAGGGCATGGGTGAGATCTTAGAGCCATGTTTAATCACTCACTTTGTCTTTTTTTTTTTTTTTGAGATGGAGTCTCACTCTGTCACCCAGGCTGAAGTGCAATGGTGTGATCTCAGCTCACTGCAACCTCCACTTCCTAGGCTCAAGCGATTGTCCTGCCTCAACCTCCCAAGCAGCTGGGATTACAGGCACCTGCCACCATGCCCAGCTAATTTTTGTATTTTTGTAGAGGTGGGGTTTTGCCATGTTGGCCAGGCTGGTCTTGAGCTCCTGACGTCAAGTGATTTGCCTGCTTCCGCGTCCCAAAATCCTGGGATTACAGGCCTGAGCCACCATGCCTGGCCTGTCCTCATTTGTTTATCCATCTCATTTTTTGTCCTTCTCACCAAAGATATGTTGCTTTGTCTTGTGGGGTTTTTTTCATGTGGATTCCTGAACCCCATCCAGCCCCTTGTCCCCTCCCCAGCCAGCTCACACTCTTTTGCACAGCTCCTGGGACTCCCGTTGACACACAGGGAACAGCCACCCACAATGGACTGCACTGTTCTGTTTGCACCCTTAAATTTATCGTGCTTACAGAATGACACTTCTGCAAACTAGTCAAGTAGGGGGAAGTGATTTGTGGATATGCACCCTTGTTCATTCTCTTTGAAAAGGTAACCAGCTCTGAATTCTTTCTCCTTTTAGGAGGAGTTTCACTTGTCGCCCAGGCTGGAGTGTAGTGGTGCAATCTTGACTCACTGCTACCTCCGCCTCCCAGGTTCAAGCAATTCTCCTGCACCAGCCTCCCAAGTAGCTTGGATTACAGGCATGCACCACCATGCTCACCTAATTTTTTTTTTTTTTTTTTTTTTTTTAGTAGAGATGAGGTTTCACCATGTTGGTTAGGCTGGTCTTGAACTTTTGACCTCAAGCGATCCACCTGCCTTGGCCTCCCAAAGTGCTGGAATTACAGGCATGAGCCACCATACCCAGCCCCAGTTCTGAATTCTTAAGAAACTCGAGAGGGTCTAGGTGAGCATTGATAGAACCTCTGCAGTGCTGGGTGTGCTGGCTCACACCTGGAATGCTAGCCCTTTGGGAGACCGAGGTCAGAGGATCTCTTGAGCCCAGGAGTTTGAGACCAGTCTGCACAACATGGACCCCATCTCTACAAAATATTTAAGATGAGTTGTGGCTGGGTGCAGTGGCTGACGCCTGTAATCCCAGCACTTTGGGAGGCTGAGGTGGGTGGATCACGAGGCCAAGAGTTCAAGTCCAGCCTGACCAAGATGGTGAAACCCCGTCTCTACTAAGAAAACACAGAAATTAGCTGGGTGTGGTGGCATGCACCTGTAATCCCAGCTACTCAGGAGGCTAAAGCAGGAGAATCGCTTGAACTGGGGAGGTGGAGGTTGCAGTGAGCCGAGATTGTGCCACTGCACTCCAGCCTGGGCGACAGAGCAAGACTCCGTCTCAAAAAAAAAAAAAAAAAATAGTTGGGTATGGTCGTGCTTGCCTCTAGTCCCAGCTACTTGGGAGGCTGAGGTAGGAGGACTGTTTGAGCCCAGTAGGTCAAGGCTGCAGTCCGCCATAATTGCACCACTGTACTCCCACCTGGGTGACAGAGTGAGACCTTGTTTCAAAAAAGAACCTTTGCAATGATGGAAATGCCCCATGTCTGCACTGTCTGAAATGGTAGCCACTAGCTACATGTGGCTATTGAGGTCTTGATATATGACTAGGATAACTGAATTTATTTGGTTTAATTAAAAAAAATTTTTTTTTGAGACAGCCTTACTCTGTTGCCCAGGCTGGAGTGCAGTGGCGTAATCACAGCTCACTGCTCAACCTCCTGGGCTCAAGTGATCCTTCCTCCTCGGCCCCCCAAGTAGCTGGAGCCACAGTCATGCGCCACTACACCTAGCGAATATTTAGCCTTTTTATAGAGACTGGGTTTTACTGTGTTGCCTAGGCTGATCTTGAACTCCTGAGCTCAAGTGATCCTCCTGCCTCGACCTCCCAAAGTGCTGGGATTACAGACCTGAGCTACCATGCCCAGCCTGGTTTAGTTTAATTTCATTTTACATTCATTCATTCATTCATGAGATAGGGTCTTGTTCTGTCACCCAGGCTGGAGTGTAGTGGTGCAAACCACAGCTTTGACCTCCGGGACTGAAGCAGTCCTCCCACCTCAGCCTCCCAAGTAGCTGGGACCACAGGTGTGTGCCTCCATGCTTGGCTAACTTTTGTACTTTTTGTAGGCTAGTCTTGAACTCCTAGGCTCAAGCAGTCCTCCCACCTCGGTCTCCCAAAGTGCTTGGATGACAGACATGAGCCAGCGCGCCTGACCTAAAGACATATTTTTCCTTCTAGTGTAGTTCAGCCTTAAGACTGTATCAGCAGACAGAGACGGAAAAGTAAGAAAAATTGAGTATCAGTTTATATTTATAAATAAAGCAGTTGCTAATTGATGGTTTTTTTTTAAACCTCCTTTTTAATTCTGGGTTACATCATTCCCTGGCTGTCGTTTCTTTTTTTGTATTTTTTTATTATTATTATTATACTTTAAGTTTTAGCGTACATGTGCACATTGTGCAGGTTAGTTACATACGTATACATGTGCCATGCTGGTGTGCTGCACCCACTAACTCGTCATCTAGCATTAGGTATATCTCCCAATGCTATCCCTCCCCCCTCCCCCCACCCCACAACAGTCCCCAGAGTGTGATGTTCCCCTTCCTGTGTCTATGTGATCTCATCGTTCAATTCCCACCTATGAGTGAGAATATGCGGTGTTTGTTTTTTTGTTCTTGCGATAGTTTACTGAGAATGATGATTTCCAATTTCTCCCTGGCTGTCTTTACCCTAGCATCAGTGAGTCCTGCAGTCCCTACAGCCCCCAGTGAGGACAGATATTTTGGTCACCATCAAGTGGATCTTTATTTTTATCTAACATTTACAATTCTGCCAGTTCTTACTCTTAATTCTCTTTGCCTTGAATCCCAGGATCCACCTCTGATGTTCAGTGAAGAGGACCGGAAAAGTCTGCTAGAGCAGTACCATCTGGGTCTGGATCAAAAACGCAGAAAATACGTGGTTGGAGAGCTCATCTGGAATTTTGCCGATTTCATGACTAACCAGTGTAAGTGGCAGTTTAGCGCATGGGATAATGTACCCGTCCTCATTTTTTCAGGTTGCCTTGCCCATTCTGGACATTTTGGCTGTAAGAATATTGGAAACAAAGGGGGGAACCTGGTTTAATCCATGTAGGTTGTGTTGAGAATTTCCTAGGAAAAGTAAGTTGTGCTTAGGAAGTAGGAAAGCAGTCAGGCCCCCGCTTCCCACGTACGGTCAAAAAGCAAACATGAGAGTCTGCTATAGTGAGATGGAAATGGCTAGCTTGCCTTTTTCTTGTCTATTTCATAGCCAAGGATGAAGGAAAAACTGGACCTCATTATGGATTTACTTTTGGGATACACTCATTATTCCAGAGGAGGGTAAAAGGCTGAGAAGCTTAAGGTATTTCAGTCTGTTTTATGTTACTCATTTGCGAAAAGCAGGCTCATCGAATACAGGTGAGTTTCAACGCGTCTTGAATATGGCAGCATTTAAAAGTCTTCAGACCAGGCATGGTGGCTCATGCCTGTCATCCCAGCACTTTGGGAGGCCAAGGTGGGAGGATTGCTTGAGGCCAGGAGTTCGAGACCAGCCTGTTCAGCATAGCAGGACCCCCATCTCTACAAAAACTAAACAGATTAGCTAGGTGTGGTGGTGTGTGCCTGTAGTCCTAGCTGCTTGGGAGGCTGAGGCAGGCGGATAGCCTGAGCACAGGAGTTGGAGGCTGCAGTAAGCCATGATTACACCACTGCACTTGAGCCTGGGCAGCAGAGTGAGACCTGTCTTTAAAAAAAAAAAGGAGCTGGGCACGGTGGCTCATGCCTGTAATCCCAGCACTTTGGGAGGCCGAGGCAGGCAGATCACGAGGTCAGGAGATCGAGACCATCCTGGCTAACAGTGAAACCCTGTCTCTACTGAAAATACAAAAAAAATCAGCCGGGCGTGGTGGCGGGTGCCTGTAGTCCCAGCTGCTCGGGAGGCTGAGGCAGGAGAATGGCATGAACCCAGGAGTTGGAGCTTGCAGTGAGCCGAGATTGTGCCACTGCACTCCAGCCTGGGCGACAGTGAGACTGCTTCTCAAAAAAAAAAAAAAAAAAAAGAAAGGGTCTTCAAAGACAATAAGATCTGTGCTCTCACGTAGGGTGGATGAGGGGCTGCCAAGTTAGCAATGAATGTTTCCCATTTCTTCTTAGTTTATGGACTTTCCATAAACTCAGGATGGCAGTTTGGTTGGTTGGAGAAGGATATGGTGATGGCGGGAGTTACAATACATTACTTATAGGGGAAGATAGGCTTTTGAAAGGTTAAAGCTTAAAAGTGAGAATGGAAAAGGGATGAATGAATGAACATGATGAGGTGAGAGGGAAGAGGTAAAGGGAAAAGGAGAACAAGCAACTCTTCTCTGCGTGGCACCTGGGATGAATGGTTTCTGGGGACATCCCTGATGGCAGTTTTGTGGAGAGGTGCAAAGCTTTATGTGTTAAGAAATGAGCTGTAGGCTCAGTGCAGTGGCTCACGCCTGTAATCCCAGCACTTTGGGAGGCCGAGGTGGGTGAAAAGAAAAAATGGGCTGGGCGCCGTGGCTCACGCCTGTAATCCCAGCACTTTGGGAGGCCGAGGTGGGCGGATCATGAGGTAAGGAGTTCGAGAGCAGCCTGGCCAACATGGTGAAACCGTGTCTCTCCAAAAAAATAGAAAAAACATCCCTGTATGGTGGTGAGCACCTGTAGTCCCAGTTACTCAGGAGGCTGAGGCATGAGAATCGCTTAAACCTCGGAGGCGGAGGCTGCAATGAGCTGAGATGGTGCCACTGCACTCCAGCCTGGGTGACAGAGCTGGGTGGTGGCTCAAGATATGTTTTGTAAACCTGAAGATTTGAGATCATATAAGCCAAATCGAAACTTAATTGGCATTCATAACTTTTGGTTCTAGAGACTCCATGATCAACTAAGAGCCACCAAACATTTCCCATGTAGACTATTTTGACCATGCTGACTCTACTGACACTGTGGTTACTGAATTCACTTTATCTCTAGAAATTAATTCTTACTAATGGATGTCTGTCACTGTAAGATCCTTCTCTCCTCTGAAATAAGGAGAACATTTTAACTTCAGTAGTTTAAACTAGTGTCCTAAACTATAGCATTCAAAATGAGATAATATGCTAAAGTAATACACAAACCAAAAATCCCAGTGGCTAACACAAAAAGTTTTTCTTATTCATTTTACATATCCAGGGTAAGTCAGTAATAGACGCAGACACACCCAGAGACCAAGGATGAGTTGTGATCTGTCTGCACACATAGTTCACAATGCCTGAGTGAGTTGTGCTTTGGCCTTTAAACTTCCACTCATGTTTAATTAATAAAGATTTTGCTCAAATGCCATTTGATGATGAGTTTCATGACGATGATCAACTTTAAAAGAACTTGGAAGTACAATCCTCAAGCGTTTCTGGAAATAGCAGAACTACAATATTTGAGAAAAATATTTTTTAATGTATAAAAAATTGGCAGGGTAGGCTAGCAAGCAAGAGACCTAGAGAAAAGTTGATGTTACAGTCTCAAGTCGAAAGGCAATCTGCAGGCAGAATTATTTCCTTGAGGGATCTCAGTCTTTTAATATAATCAATTGACTGGATGAGCCCTACAATATTTTGGAAAATAATCTGCTTTTCTCAGAAATTACTGATTTTCATGTTAATCTCATCTAACAATACTTTCAGAGCAACATCTATACTGGTATTTGAATATATAACTCTTTTATCTTTTAAAATATCAAATAATACAGTTATATATACATACACACATATGTATATATGTCACCTAAATTGTAGATATCAGAAATCAGAATGCTGTGATATGAATATTTAGTATATTTTAATCATGATAAATTATACATCCTTCTACCTTATGATAATGGATTTTAAGATCTATGCTGTTAAACTCTATATTTATCCTTTAATTCATATCTTGCTTATTTTACATTTATCTGAGAATACATTGGGTCTACTAAATCTTTACTATCATTCACAAGTCTTACATCTTAAGATAACTTTTCAATAAAATAAAAATTCTTCATTGCACCTAGAAAGGAGCAGGGTTTTGAAAGCGATCAATGATTACTCTGATACCTAATATAATAATATAATATAGTAAAAATCAAAATACTTGAATGAAAAATGTAAAATTAATAGTTTTGCTTTCATTGTTTTTATTCCAGTGTCTATTTTAGAATGTTTTTACTCTAATTGTGTTTTTATGCAAAACCAAATGAGCTTTAGATAATTCCATTGATACATTACATATGAAAGTTCTCGTTAAATAGGATATAGCATATTTTACTTAAAAATCCAAATTATAAAATAAAGAGGGATTTTAAGTTGAGTCTAAAATTTTTGTTTCAATTTTGTTTTTATTTAAAGACTTGCTATAATTCTGTGAGAGAGCTATAAAAGTCTGCTCAGAAACATTATAATGTAAAATGGACAGAGAAGGACAATGAGATATTTAATTTGCCACGGCAAAGCCATTGCTGTGAAGAATGGATAATATATGTCAATGGTAATATATGAAGAAATAACACAGGTGAATAGCAGAGGCAATAAATCTGTTTTTACCACAGGACTTGTCTTACACTTTTCTCTTAGTAATAAATAAAATAATTTTCGACCAGATGGAGCTGGCTTGAAATCCTCTTGTTTATGGCAGTACATATCGGTTATGATTCAAAAAATATAGCCCATTTCCAAAAACCTGCAACAAAGAGATACTTTCTCAGGTGAGTGTTCAGATCATTATTCATTACAAAGTGTCAGTTTTGTCTTTATTGATCCTCATTATTGTAAGAAAGTATGTGGTCCTGTCTCCATTCTATTAAAACAACATTGTAGAGATTAGCACTGAGTCTTTCCAGCCATGTGCATCTGTTCATTTCCGTCTCCAGCTTGAGTTTTTCTGTGTATTACAAAATAAGAAAACAAAAATGACACAATAATCTATTTTGTCTGGTTTTGCTCTTTATTAGTAGAAATAGACAAGTGAGGAGTTGGAGGAAGAAATTGCTTCTGATCTGTTTTAGATACAGGTGAAACTCTCCCTCCCTCCCCGCCCTACCCAGTCTTTCTCTGTCTCCCTCCCTGAGCCTATTCTTGCTTCTTCCCTTTACAAATAATTAACTGCTCAGGTCATGTTGAACCAAAAAATAGCGTCTGTAGCCCCTGTGTGCTTACTTTAAGTATATGTTACTGAAAAATGCGGAGTGAGCACTTAACAACTCATTCTCCTGGGAAGCACAGTGCTACTATACCCCAAATGCTTTTCTTTATCATTTTAATTTTTATCTTCTTTACTTACATTTCCAACATCAGTTAAGAGGGTCTTGTAGTTTTCTAACTGAAAGGAGACTGTAAAATCTCCTTGCTCAAAACTCAGATGCAGAATATTATTTTTACTACAATAAATACATCTACAACAATGGTATTATATCTGGTTTATTTCAAAGTCAAGTTCTAATACAGGTAAACAAATATACTAATAAAGAGATAATGCTTTTCTCATGAAATGTATAATCTAGTAGGAATAAAGATAAACAATTTTTTTAAAAATTCTATTTCATTAAGCAAAAATGCAACTCAGAAGAATAATGTATATTAGCAGTCATTTACTATTTTTCAATTAAATTCCGATATATATGTAAAGTAAATTATTACTAATATCAAACATAGTTTAAAGAATTAGTGACTATGTGCACTTGGATCTCCATATGTAATGTACTATCAGCATCTTCACAAACACAGTAAATTTTAATATGCAAGTAAAACTTATTTTACTAAACGATGATTACTCCTTCTATATTCATATTCCTAAACACATACAGTTTCTTAATGTAATTAAGTTTTTAACTAAAAAAAGGGAAATGCATTATTGAGGCGATAGGATTACTGGGTGGCTATAAACACATCTGCTGCACAGCTGACATTTATCTTCTACAATGAGCAGTGACAATTTTATTTTTTAATAATCAGTATGGACTAATCCTGATGATTTTTTTTAACATTTTCAAATAGGGCTGCATATGGCTTAAAATTAATATATACATGTGTACCTATATAATATTCTTATTTATTAATGGACTTCCTACATAGCTCATATTGACGTTAGATTTAAATGAAATTCCAGAAGGGTTTTCTATAGGTAAGTCATACATTGGATTTCCATATTACCTATGATTATTGAAGTATTTATTTCTGTTTTTAAGACTTCAGAGCAATTTTGCTGGTCATTTGTTTTCTGTGTTTTTATTTTGAAATTGTTCTTTGAGGCATTGTCCTATTACATTTTTAAGGTATGTTAATAAAATAATATTTTTAATGAAATTTTGCCTACTGCTTTCCAGGTGAACTCTTGTTTAAAGTATTAATTCACCAAAAATTACTTATATTCAGAAAATGAACTAAAAAAAATAATATGACGTGTTCAAGAAAGTCGAACAAAAGTTACGTGATGTTTGCAACATACACAACTCCATACCCTTCTCAAATAGTAAAGAGAATAGTAAATAGAATAGGTAGTAAGCAGAGTAGGAATTGTGGAATATGGAACTCTCAGTCACTCAACTGACTTTATTTTTTAGTAATACGGGATTTGAATTATTCAAGCTGAAGCCATTAAATATTCATAGTGCTTCGTATTATAAAGTTATTGATTAATGTCTTTGGTAAAGAACACTATTATTTCTGATTACATCAAGGTCATCCCGAGGAACAGGACCAAAGCATAAAGTTTTATATATGAAATATGAGAAGTTAATACATAATTCATATTTAACAGATAACATAAATGTTAACCCCTTGGAGAATCTGAAGCTAATACCCATGTTCTTCTGGCAATTCTTTATACTGGCAATTTGGAAAATGCCAGTGTTTTATCGCTACCTATTCTTGTATTATGACATGAATTAATACATATCTGCCTCACTATTCCTGTGGGCAAAAAAAGACTGTGAATTATGTGCCAGAGAGAGATTTTACAAAATTAAATGAGGCAAAGTACTTTTCCTCTGTATACTCATTAGAAATATGCTGAGTAGTTCCTTTCCGTTCCTTTCACTTTCCGATAAAATATAATCAGTTCAGCCATATAACAGATATCTTTTAAACTTTTAATGTCCTCTGTTAGAATGAATATGATATTTGGGACCAATTCACATTTTGGAATAATGTACATACTAAGCATAAGTGAAGAATTTAAACATTAACTTGATTTAGGACTGGACTCTTAAGAGGTTTTAAAAAGTTGAAAAACGGAATTCCAACAAATTTAAATGGCTTGTTTAGGGTTTCCACAGGCAATACGGGTGGGTGCAATGGAAAGAGAATTCCTTTAATCTAAACGTGGGCTTTATTCTGGCTCTGCCACATATTGACTGTTTCATACAAATGTAACTTAAACTGCAGGTGTCATGATTTTTCACACATATACAAATAAAACAATGTTGATTATATAGGATTTGTTGAGAAAATGCAATTATGCCAAGTACAAGTATTTGGCCTATTATCTCACTTTATAAATATTAGCAATTCTTTTTGTGGAGGGAATAAATCTAACATGCTGGCTTTTAGAATTTCTTCTTATTTTTCTTTCAACTTTATTGCCATGTAACATCTTTAAGTCAATAAATCTGACAATTAGACTGTGGGTAATTTTCTTCCAAATCCATATCTTGTTTTCTCTATCCATAGTAGCATTTTAAAACAACAGAAGGGAACTTTAATTACAGTAGGTTGGGAGCCATTTTCTCCCTTTGGTCATATTTTCATTGAAATTCCTACATTGTTTAATATTAGGACTTAGTTTGAATATCACATCAACAAGGTTGCTCAATAGAAATATTATGGAATCATTTTTCTGTCATGCCACAGAACTTAATAACTGTATGTTCAAAATGCAGCTCAATTCTGATCATTTTTGCTACTTTCACCACTAGCATCCTGGTGCTAACCACCATCATTTATTGCCCAGGTTATTGAAATGGCCAGCAAACAGGTGTTTCTGATTCTGCGTAAGGCACCCTTCAGTACATCCTCAAAAGAGCAATTTGTATAATCACTTTAAAACATGTATCAGGTTATTACCTTCTTCTGTGTAAAACTCTGATCTCTCGTTTCATTCATTGTAAAAGTCAGAATCTTGCACAATGCTTTATAGATGCTCCACCACATGAAGCCCCCAATTCTTCTATGGACTTCCCTCCTTCCACTATGTAATTTTCTCACTCAGCTTCACGTACAGTATTTTCTTGGTTATTACTAAACATGCAACAGATACGGTTTGTTCTATATCTTCCTCATGCTTTTGGTCAGATGCCATTATCCCAGTGAGGTTTTCCATAGCCACTTTATTCAAATTCCAAACAATCTGTCCCCTTAGACATTCTCCATTCTTAATTTTTTGCCATTGTACTTACTACAGTCTAACACACTATACATGTTACATTTTTGCTTATTGTTTATTGTATAGTCCCTAGAATATTAGTTCCCTGAGGACAGAGATTTCTGTAAGCTTTTCCAAAGATGTATCCCCAAAGCCTAGAATGCTACCTGGCAACAAATACTTGTTATAATGAATTAGAAGTGGGTAGATTCACACATCAGAGACAGCGTAGTGTATATAATGATTTTTTAAAGCATTAGAGTCATAGATATTAGGATTTGTATTATGTCTTCACCATTTACAATTATGCTACCCTCAACAAGTTGTTTAATCTTTCCATTCCTCAGTTTCCTCATGACTCATATATTGGAAATATTGTCTACCTTAGAGCTCTTCCAAGAGTAATATTGAGACAATGTTTCAACAATGTTTAGCACATTGCTGAATATTAATACATTATTTCTATTAATGTAAGAAATTTCATAGACTTGCTAGAAATAACGAGGATGGAATATAGATGAAGATCATAAAACATGATGGAAATAAATGTTGGAAAATGTGGGTGGTATCCTTAGCACACTCTCTAACGTAAGGAGTAAAATCTGTGTCATATGACTTTATCTTTCTTCTGGAAACTAACGGAATTTAGTAACACACTTTTCTTGACCTGAGGATTTGCCCTTACCACAAAATTGTTTTTGAAACTTGAGTGTTTACAATGGCTTTTTACCAGTTCTTTTATGTTCTACCAGTTCCTCTCCAATTTACTATGGACTGAAGTCAGACTAATTTGTTAAGAGCAAACAAAACAAAACAAAACAAAACAGTTATTACCTCATTCTAGCCTCAAAGCATCTGCCTTTTCAATGCAATCAAAATTAAATGCAATGAAAATTAAATGCAATCAAAATTAAATGCACAATTCTAATTTTGATGACTTTAGTCCCTGCTTATCTGTTATATTAGGCTGTTCTTGTATTGCTATGAAGAAATATCTGAGACTGGATATTATAAAAATGTTTAATTGACTCACAGTCCTGCAGGCTGTACAGGAAGCACAGTGGCATCTTCTTCTGGAGAGGCCTCAGGGAGCTTTTACTCATGACAGAAGGCAAAGCAGGAGCAGGCACTTCACATGGTGAAAGCAGGAACAAGAGAGAGAGAGTGTGTTGGGGTAGGTGCACTACCATGGAGACAGCACCAAGTCACGAAGGATTCGACCTCATGATCCAAACACTTCCCACCAAGCTCCACCTTCAGCACTGGGGATCTGGTTTCAACATGAGATTTGGGCGGGACATCCAAACTATATCATCTGTCTCCCTCATCCAAGACCATGTGATCCGTAGCTCACTTTTGTCTAGCAACAGATTAAATACAGCATTTTCTGTGTGATATCTTTGTTGAGGTCTTTGCAGATGGCTGTTTCTTTGTCCTGAAACTTTCTTCATCTGCTCTTTCAAAATGAGTGACTCTTCATCCTCGAAGTCTATGCTTATATATTGCTTTTCAGAGGAATCTTTTCTGAACTGGGCATTCTGCCTTCAACCAACTATTTTCTATTATAGTTTCCTGTTTGTGAGTTAATAGTCCTTTTGAAAATTTGACTACTCATTTACCTTCTTGGGTTATTTGAAATTATCTCCTCTTCACTAGATTCTATAGAAGCATAGCCATGCCTGCCCTCTTTACTGTTTCTCTACTGACTTGTTGCAATGAATATTGTCAGTAAACATGGAAATAAATCAGTTATTCAGATATCCTACCTTGGTGCTTGCTTAGATAACTCCACACTGTGATGCCTAATGACCTACACAGGGCTTTCTAGCAAGGAGTGACTTTCTTTCTGCTACGTGTAATAATGATCCGTCAACTTAAACATATAGTTATATTTCCAGCAGACGGTTTCTTGAAACTAATGTCCAGGGTGTAGTTATTCAAAAAAGCAAACTCTTCTCTTGATTTCTGCCATACATTGGTACTCTTTCTCTCTCCCTTTTTTATTTTATTATTTTTTTTTGAGACAGAGTCTCACTCTTTCACCCAGGCTGTGGTGCCATCCCAGCACACCCTGCAACCCATTGCCTCCCAGATTCAAGCGATTCTCCTGCCTCAGCCTCCCTAGTAGCTGGAATTACAGGCATGTGCCACCATGCCTGACTGATTTTTTGTATTTTTAGTGGAGACGGGATTTCACCATGTTGTTCAGGCTGGTCTCAAACTCCTGACCCCTAGTGATCCATCTGCCTCAGCCTCCTAAAGTGCTGGGATTACAGGCGTGAGCCACCCCGCTCGGCCTACTCTTTTATTTCTGTTTTGTCTTTCCTTTCTCAAGAAAGAAAACAAACCAAAACCAAAACAGTTTGGAAGACTTTATAGTATTCATCCATACAAAAGAACAAGATCATGTCCTTTGCAGGAACATGGGTGGAGCTGGAGACCATTATCCTCAGCTCCACCCATCCTCAGCTCCCACTAACGCAGGAACAGAAAAACAAATGCAGCATGTTCTTATTTATAAATGTGAGCCAAGTGATAAGAACACATGGACTCATAGAGGAGAACACCACACACTCGGACCTACCTGAGAGTAGCGGGTGGGAAAACGGAGAGGTTGAGGAAAAGTAACTAATGGGTACTAAGCTTAATACCCGGGTGACAACATAACCTGTACAACAAATCCCCATGACACGAGTTTACCTGTATAACAAACCTGCACGTGTACTGCTGAACTTAAACTAAAAGTTAACAAAAGGCCAGGTGCAGTGTTTCACACACGTAATCCCAGCACTTTGGGAGGCTGACATGGGTGGATCACCTGAGGTCAGGAGTTCAAGACCAGCCCGACCAACTAAATACAAAAAGTTAGCTAGATGTGGTGGCAGGTAATCCCAGCTCCTCTGGAGGCCAAGGCAGGAGAATCGCTTGAATCCAGAAGGCAGAGGTTGCAGTGAGCCGAGATTGTGCCACTGCACTCCAGCCTGGGCAATAAGAGTGAAACTCTGTCTCAAAAAAAAAAAAAAAAAAAAAAAAAAGTTAACAAAACGTTCTTCTCTAGTTCTAAAGCACCAACACAGAGGTGATCAAAATACTCTAAGAAGCACTGGGAAACATTGAGGGGATGGTTCAAACATCAGAGCTAAGGCCTAATTTCCCAACAGTCATTATTTCTGTGGTATTTTGCATATTAGAGACGTATAGGTTCCTCACCTAATCCTTGTTTTTTCATTTTATTTTTAATACATATGAAAGTCATAATAACAAAAAAAATTCATACATCAGCAGCTCAGCTAGAAATAAAAGTCTCAATCTACTGGAAGCCCCTGTGAACTTGTATCAAATTCCTTTCTCTCTTCATAGAGGAAATAATGACTCCCAAAATGTGGTAATGAACAAATATCTCTAATTGTTTAAAATTTAGTATATGTGCAAGTCTCCACAGACACAATCATGATCATATATTTTTAGAAGTTAAAAACGTGTCTATCATCAGGGCGTGGTGGTTCATGCCTGTAATCCCAGCACTTTGGGAGGCCTAAGTGGGTGGATCACCTGAGGTCAGGCGTTCAAGACCAGCCTGGCCGACATGGTGAAACCCTGTCTCTACTAAAAATACAAAAGTTAGCCAGGCGTGGTGGAGGGTGCCTGTAATCCGAGCTACTCAGGAGGCTGAGGCAGGAGAATTGCTTGAACCCGGGAGGCGGAGGTTGCGGTGAGCCAAGACCACGCCACTGCACTCCAGCCTGGACAACAGAGCAAAAACTCCGACTCAAAAAAAAAGTGTCTATCTACCTTCTGCTTTATTTTGTTTTATATGACATTGATGATGTCCATCTATGTTGGCCCATATAATTCTTATCAATTATTTTAAATGCTGTTTAGCATTGTACTATATAAAAATATCAAAACACAGCTCCCTTTTGTTCATTATATTGCCATTTAGTTTTTTTCTCATTTTTTGCTATTTCAACAAAAAGCTGCTATGAATGTGTATGTGTGTATATATATATTAAATGTGTATATATATGAATGTATATATATATACACATATATATGTCAGAGTTTCTCTAGGATATAAACCCAGGAACAAAATTTAAAAATCATAGGGTGTATTGGATCTTACATCACTGCAGACCCTCTCAGCATTACCTCTTGTTCCAGTCAGAGCCTTGGTTACTATTTTTATGTAGACTTTGGTCAGTTTCATAAAGATGGAAGTGATAGTATGTGGCTTCAGACCAGAGCAAGAATTCACTTTCTGCTGCGGGATTTCTCAGACAATGTTGTGTGGATTGTTGTAGGCATTTTGCTTGTTACTCATAAATGCACTGTCTAGACACATCGAGAAGTTAGCATCCATGAGGCTATGCTTGAAAAATGGAACTCCTAGAGCTGATGGATACATATTTCCCCCGTTGTTTCACTTCAGTGAATGGTCATATAGTATTCCATCACCTAACTTAATAATGTGTTCTAGATTTTACTCTCTCTCCCTATAGCACCCATCCTGTTTCTTATTCTTACTCCACAATACACTCCCAACTTAAACACACAGTCTCTTCTTTAGGTGTTGGGGGTTGGGAGTTATTACAAGATGACATGGTGTATGCATTTATTTCTTTGTCTACGTTGATTGCACTGATTTACAGTCTCACCAGCAGTTCATAAAATCCTTCCTTGCAGCTAAGATATGGGCACAAGACTAAAATTTATATCTTTAGCTGATATCTCATTCCTGAACACTCATCTCATTTGCGACTGCCTTGAATATCAAATAGGCATCTCAACCTTAGTAAGTAAAAGAGAATTCTTTATCTGCATCCTGCCAATCCTGCTTCTTTCCCAGTAATTTTTCACTCAGTAATTTGAGCCATTATTAATCTATTTTCTAAAGCTTCAAAACATGGAGTCATTACCAGCTGTTTTATATACACCATTCCAAGCCATTAGAAAGTCAATTCCATTTCACCTGGAAGTTTATTGCAAATTTGACAATTGTCTCTTACATGAACTACTAAAATAGCTTCTCAGCAGCATCTGTGTGCTGCCATTATCCATCCTTCCTCCAGTCTCTTCCCCACCAGGCAATGGAAGTCATCTCTGGCAATATAATGCATTTCACATTAGTTTCATTTTTCCAGCTGAAAATCTCAAAAGTATTTCATTTACATGCCTAATAAAAGCTAAAGATATAATCTTGCTCAGAACTATAAGCTGGCTTCTCCACCTACCATTATCCTTTGCCTTGATTACTCTGCTCTATATCATCATCTTGCATACCCTAACACATGACTTTTATACTCATTGCTCCATCTGTTATAAACATACTGATAAATAATGTTTCCTCTTTAGCAGTGATTTCCTGATCTAATCAATATTTTGGTATCATATAAACTCATTGGATTATTAGTGATTATCACTAACCTGCTATCATACAATACACATTTAATTTCTTTTCTCCTTGTTTATTGTCTAAACTGCTAGGTAGAAGGGCACTTTATCTATTCTTATCACAAACGTAGGACAACGGCTAGCACAAGGTTAGGAACTTACACGCTATTCGATTAATTGTTGTTTAATAATTGATTAAAAACTCCAGAACTTTGGGTTCCATTCTTATGATGACAATAATATAATGCTAGGGATGCCAAGTGAATAGCAAGTTTAACCAAGTTATCCTGTATGGGGAGCCACAGTTACTTAAAATGTCTGACAATCCACAGTCCTGGTGATGATGTGGAATATCACTCTCTTAATCAATGCAAACAATTTATTTAATAGTCATAGTGCTAAAGATGGCATGCCCTCCAAATGAGCAATTGCACTCTTGGTTATGCATTTATATGAATATGTATATAGGAATAGTCATGATAAAACTACTAATTATTATAAAATTTTTGGAAAAAGCATAACTATTAAAAATGAAATTGGTAACTTAAGACTACTCAATACATCAGTAAAAATGAATGAACTAAGCAAAAACATGGATGAATTTCAAAAACGAAATTTATTTTCATTATTTATTAAGAAAGAAAATTTGCACTGTTTTCAAGTCTAATACCAAACAGAACTAAATGGTATTTCTGGATAAACAAATTAGAAAATAAAATTATGAAAAATGCAAGAAAAAAATTACCACAAAAGTTGGGATAGAAGTTACATTAAGAGATGGCATGGTCTTATACAAAGAAAACCCTAAAGACTCTGAAAGACTCCTAGACTTGGCAAAAGACTGCAATAAAGTTTCAGAATACAAAGTCAATGTCCAATAGTCAGTAGTATTTCTATATAGCAATAATATTCAAGCTGAGAACAAAATCAAGAACTCAATCTCATTTACAATAGACACACACACACACACACACACACACACACACATAACTGAGAAATACGTTTAACCAAGGAGGTAAAATATTTCTACAATAAGAACTACAAAAGATGGGTGGAAGAAACCTGAAATAAAACAAACTAATGGAAAAATATCCCATGTTCATGGATTAAAAAAAATTAAAAATGACCATGGTGTCCAAAGCAATCTAAAGATTCAGTGCAATTTCTATCAAACTACCAATGTCATTTTTCACAGAATTAGAAAACAACAATCCCAAAGTGTATATGAAATTCTGAATTGAAAAAATGACCCAGATAGCCAAAGCAATTCTAAGCAAAAAGAACAAAGCTGGAGTCAGCACTTCACCCCATTTCAAATTATACTACAAACCTATAGTAACAAGAACAGCATGGTACCAATACAAAAACAGATACATAGTTTAATAAAATTAAATAGAGAACCAAGAAATAAAGCCACATACCTACAACCAACTAATCTTCAACAAAGCGTGCACAAATAAACAATGTGGAAAGGATACCTTTTTCAATAAATTGTACTAGAAAAAATGGATATCCGTATACACAAGAGTAAAACTGGATTCCTATATCTCACCATATATAAAAATTAACTCAAGATTGATTAAATACTCAAATGTAAAAACCTATACAATTCCTAGAAGAAAACCTAGGAAAACTTTACTGAATATCAGCCTTGACAAAGAATTTATGACTAAGTCATCAGAAGCAAATGAAACAAAAATAATAATAGGCAAATGGGACCTAAGTAAACTAAAAATCTTCTGCACAGCAAAGGAAATAATCAACAGAGTAAACAGGCAACCTACAGAACAGGAGAAAATATTCACAAATTATGCATCTAACGAAGTACTAATATCCAGAATCTACATGGAACCCAATAAATAATAAACACATTATGTCATTACAAAGTAGGCAAATGACATAAACAAACATTTATCAAAAGAAGACATGCAGGTTGCCAACAAACATTAAAAAATACTCAAGATCACTGATGATCATAGAAATGTAAATCAATATTGAAGTGTGTATTAGTCTGTTCTCATGCTGCTATGAAGAAATACCCGAGACTGGGTAATTTATAAGGAAAAGAACTTTAATGGACTAACAGTTCCGTACGGCTGGGGAACATTCAGGAAACTTACAATCATGGTGGAAGGGGAAGCAATCAAGTCCTTCTTCACATGGCAGCAGGAAGGAGAAGAATGAGAGCCGAGCAAATGTGGAATCCCCTTATAAAACCATCAGATCTTGTGAGACTCACTCACTATCACAAGAACAGCACGGAGGGTAACCGCCCTCATGATTCAATTACCTCCCACCAGGTGCCTCCCATGACACATGGGGATTATGAGAACTAAAATTCAAAATGAGATCTGGGTGGGGACACAGCCAAACCACATCAAAAAGTGATTCATTTGACATGGTCTTCCCTATCTTCTCTCATTTAGGGTAACATTATTTCCTTGAATCAAAAGGGTATCCCTGTAGACTTTGAGTTCATCTTGACATCTTTGAACCATGGATTATCAATTTGCAAATGTTATTTGTTGAATTATTGAGCTATATTCCTTGACATGCTTTTAAGAATGATATTTTCATTAAAATAAATGAGGGACTCATCCTAATATTTAGGAAGATTTCTCAACATCATCACATACAATTATGAATTATTATGGACACAACAGTGGTAGTTTGGATTTTTATTGTGGTTAAACTTTTAGAAAGTACAAAGTATTCATAAATCTACATTTTAATATTTTATAATTCAAATGAATTTTAAGTAACTATTTTGATATTCTATAAATAAAAATGTCACCTATACTATATAAGGATTCACTCACTTCTCTCTGCATTCTCATCAATACCTGATGTGTTGTGACTTTTAAAAACTAGCCATTCTGACTAGTATAAGGTGACATTTCGTTGTGGTTTTAATTTTTATTTCTCTGATGATGAGACTGAGCATTATTTCATATGTTTGCTGTCCACTAGTATGTCTTCTTTTGAGAAATGCCTGTTTATGTACTTTGTCCATTTTTTAATGGGGTTATCTATTTTGTTGTTGTTGTTGAGTTGTTTGAATTTCTTGTCGATTCTGGATATTAGTACTTAGTTGGATGCATAGTTTGCAAATATTTTCTCACATTCTTCAGGTTATCTGTTTTCTCAGTTATTTCTTTTGCTGTGCAGAAACTTTTTTGTTTAATTAAGTCCCATTTGTCTACTTTTGTTTTTGCTAAATTTGCTTTTGAGGTCTTAGTCACAAATTTTTTGCCAAGGCCAATGTCTAGAAGAGTTTTTCCAGGTATTCTATGAGTACTTTTATATCTTCAGGTATTATATTTAATTCTTCAATTCATCCTGAGTTAATTTTGTGGATGGCAACAGATAGGGGCCCAGTTTTATTCCTCTGCATGTGGCTTTCCAATTTTCCCTGCACTATTTATTGAAGGGGATATCCTTTTCCCAGTGTATGTTTTTTTCAATGTTGTCAAACATCCATTGACTGTAGGTAGGTCCCTTTATAAATATCCACTAATAAAGTGACAAAGTGCCTTTGTCACTTTATTCCTGGAATTTCTATTTTGCTCTATTGAGTATTGTGTCCATTTTTATATCACTATCATATTGTTTTTGTTACTATAGCCTTATAGTATAATTAGAAGGAATGTAAATTTGTCCCACCTCTATTAAAACAGTATGAAAATTTTTTCAAGTATTAAAGAGCCACAATTCACTCTATCAATCCTATACTGGGTGTATACCCAAAAGAAAAAATATCATTATACCAGAAAAGATATTTGCACTCATTTATTTATAGCAGCAATATTCATAATACCAAAGATATTGAATCAACATGTGTCCATCAACAAATAACTGGATAAAGAAAATGATGTGATATACATATATACATATATACACACACATACACGCACAATGAATACTACACAGCTATAAAAAATAACATCATTTCACTTGCAGCAATATGGAAGGATAATTTTACACTTTATGTCTTAGTCTGTTTTGTGCTGCTGTAACAAAATACCTGAGACTGGGTAATTTATAAAAAATAGAAAATTATTTTCTGATAGTTCTGTAGGCAAGGAAGTCAATGATCAAGATACCAGCATGTAATGAGGGCCTTCTGTTGCACTCTCAGATAGCATTAGTTTAAATGGCAAGAGAAAGGCAGAACTCTATTTGAGAGGGCTGTTGCAACCTTACAGCATGATACATCTTGTGAAATATGGTTTTGAACATTTTTATTAAAAATGTAGGCATCAAAATCTCTACCATTTGTGTCATGTTATAATAATAACTATAAAACTGCATTATTCAGAATATGTAACAATAAAAATTAATATTAAAAAGTTTTAAAATGTATTTGCTTTTGCATATATCGTTTCTATTGATCATAACAACCAGATGTGATAACCAGGGCCAGATATTTCTACTGTTATCATTAGAAATCAAAGAAAACTAACATATTGGATGGTTTTAAAAATTATAAAAATTGTAAGTGTACATATAAATATTAACTTGTAAGTCATCTTGCAAGTATTATAATCAGATTTCATTTTCAAATCGTGATGAATCTAACATGATACCTAAGTTTGTATATTGAACAATGTGTATACATGTGCACACACTTTTAATTTATATTTTTCTCATTCTGAGTGATAATGCAGCAAAATTTAAAGAGATTACACTATAATTATGTTTAAAATCTTACTTGTACTTTTGAAACAAATCACAGGTTGAGTCATGATAACAGGACAAAATATACTTAGCTGCTGAATATAAACAAAGTATACAGAAGCGTAAATCTTGCGAGCACAAAAGTGTTAAAAACAGCAAGATCTAGAGGCTCAAGTACAAGAGAGATATATTATACCAAGAGCAGTAATCTCAAAAATTTATATCCCAAATGTGTAGACTTGATCTTATTTTCAGTCAGTGTGTTCTGTATGGAAGATGAACATGCTCCTGACAACGGAGTATGATTTAGAAAACTATATCCTGCACAGAGGGATATAAAATGTGATTATATACTGCACTTCTGTGCAAAATTTTAAACAGAATTTAATCAATCACTTTGAAACCTAGATGTATTTGTGGAACAATGACATCACTTTGAAATTATGTGTAGTTTGTAAATGCACAAAATTAATAATGTATTTTGTGTAAATGGATTACTTTGGAAAGAAACTCATAAGAACTACATTATCAGACAAAACATTCTTTGAAAATGTGTGTGCTACAAGGCAATTTGCCATTTCATTTTAATAGAATGTTCCATGCTGAAAATGTCTAACTGCTCAGAAGTGGAATAGGAGTGTAAATTTATTATCTGAGAAAAGAAAATTAATTGACACAGGCCAAAAATGTAATGGAATTAGACCCATGTGCCTTAGTGAGAACTTAGGAACTCGATCTGGGCTCTATGGAGTGACAAAATTATGCAAAAAAAAAATGAAGTATGTCATTTTTGCACAAAGCTCAGGATTTCTCAAAGGAATATTACATAAAATAATGAAGTCTCCTTTATCTCCAAGACAGTCCAGTCTTAGAACGCAATGGAACATGCCATTTGAAATAAAAAACAAATTTTGTTTTTGTTTTGTTTTGTTATGTTTGGTGCTATTTTAAGTATTTAACATTCATAAAGAG